>NC_000006.12:161131396-161282911 GCF_000001405.40 Homo sapiens | reverse complement strand
AAATTTTCAAAACATTTTCAAGGCATTAGCAAAGTGGTGACGAGTATTGGTACATTCAGTAGTGCATGTAATTAGTCACAAAACCCTCTTCTTCTGGGACTTCATCTTAGAAATTTAACCAAAAGAAGAAAAATGTGTGTGTTGTCATGGTGGTATACTATAGAGGTAAAGAATATGATCTTCTGAGTTAGGCACACTTGACTTGAAATCCTGCCTCTGATATTTACTAGCTAACCTGGAGGAAGTGACTAAACAAAGCTAAGCTTCAGGTCCTCATTTATAAAATAGAAAAAAAAATATATCTGACACAAAGTGCTTAGTGCCCAGTACATAGAAGCAAGTGCCATTGAAGAATGAGCCGCAGTAGGTGAAGGCTGGCCACGCGCAATATCCCACAGGAGGACAATTAAAAAAAATACTATATGCTAAGTAGGTAGAGTACTTGAAAAACATCGAGAAGATAATTAGGACAGTTCTGATAAGTTAATGTGTTTAGGTTGTGCTAGGTAAAAATACGGTAACAATTTTCTATATCCACTATGATTATAGCTAAATAAAATATGCATGCATATAAACAAAGACTAGAAAAGAATGTGATAAAGAAAAAGGAGAAAGATGATTTTATGGAGACTTAAAACTTTTCCTTAAATGTACGTATAATATATAAAAACCAAGAATAAAAGTGATGTCTAAAAGAAACTCATTTGAGTTATAGGAGTGGAAAGAGAATGTCCCAACTGCCCCTGGTAAAAGGTGACACAGCTGGGTGCAGTGGCTCACACCTGTAATCCCAGCAATTTCAGAGGCCAAGGCAGCAGGATCACTTGAGCCCAGGAGTTCGAGACATGACTGGGCAACATGGTGAGTCCTTGTCTCTACAAAAACAAAATTTAAAAATTAGCCAGGCATGTTGGCTCACATTTGTAGTCCCAGCTACTCAGGAGGCTGAGGAGGGATGATTGCTTGGGCTGAGGAAATCAAGGCTGCAGTGAGCCATGATTGTGCCACTGCACTCCAGCCTGGGCAACAGAGAAAGGCCCTGTCTCACCAAAAAAAAAAAAAAAAAGAGATGCAAGTGATAATGTTCATTCATTTAATTAGCATTTATTGGACTCTATTGTTCCAGATCTTTGAAAACAAGTATCTTGCCCTCACAAACTAGTAGGGAATAAACATATAAAAACAATCAATTAAATCCCATTGTGTGAAATGCATTAATAGAGATTAATACAAGGCAACACTATCTTTGACAGGAGTTGGGCTTCCTAGAGCAGATGGTAAGATAGTCTTAAAGGCTGTGGGAGGTTAGCTAACTGATGAGGGGTGAGGTAAGGGTGGTCCTTGGAAAAGTATGTGCTGTGATGTGAACTTTCCCACCAAAATTCATGTTGACATTTAACTGGCAATGTAACAGAACTGGAAGGTGGGACCTTGAAGAGGTGATTAGGTCATGAGGGCTATGGTCTCACAAATGGATTAATGCTGTTTTGAGGGAGTGGGTTTGCTATCACGGGAGTGGGATACTGATAAAAGGATAAGTTTGGTCCTCATTTTCTCTCTGTCTCTCGTGCATGCTTCCTTACAATGTGATACCTTTGCCATGGGTTTACTCTCCCAGATGCAATGCCATGCTCTTGGACTTCGCAGTCTCTAGAACTGTGAGCCAAGTAAACCCCTGTTCTTTATAAGTGATCCAGTCTGTAGTAACCGGTTATAGCAGTGAAAAACGGACTCAGACAGTATGGAAAGAGATAAGAGATGAAACTAGAGAGAGAGAGAGAGAGAGAGAGAGCCAGATCATGAAACATCTTGCATGTCATTCTAAATAATTTGACTTTTCTCCTGAAATAAAAAGTAGAAGAAGAGGTTTCTTTGAAGTCATTCAAGAGTAGAGGGGCCCTGTACTAACCCAGGAGCAGTGGTGGTGAGAGGAGAGGACTTTGGAGAAATATCTTTGAGAAGAGAATTAACAGGATGCTTTGAGGGCTGTGAGGGAAGAGAATTAATAGGATGCTTTAGGGGTTGGTGGGGGGAAAAGAAGCAAGAGGAACAGGGAAGAATAGAAGATAACTTCAAAGTCATCAGTTGCACCAAAGTGTGGAACTAGAAAGTTGGGAAATTGGACCTCAGAGAACTGGCCAAGTTGGGGCCAAAGGTTTGTTTTTGGACTTGTTCAATTTGAGCTTCCTTTGGGACAGATAAATGAAGATATTTACCAGGTTATTGGATAACTGTCTGAGGTTTAGGGAAAAAATGCCAACTGGAAATATAGATCTGAAAGTTACCTGTATATTAATGGATGGGGTGAAGGGAGGAGGAAAGAGTGGTCATTTTTTGAGGTTCTACATTATTTCTGGTGCTTCACACATTCTGTCTCATTTGAACATCACAACTAGACCCATGAATTTTGTGTATAAGGAACGTTGAGTCTCCAAAACTTAAGAATTAGGACTCTGGTTGCAAATGACAAAGCTAGCTTAATGGTAAAATTTATTATAAGAATACAGGGGACTCTCGGGGTACCCAAATTCAGAGAGGAGAGCAGCATGTTCTCATTTTTGTTTTGCAAAACTCACTTTTGCAAAGGCTGTGGGTGAGAAGCAGACTGGAGGGGGCAAGAACAGAGACACGGAGGCCAGCTGGGATCCTTTTCTTTTCTGCTGCCTCTCTTGCAAATCAATCTTGAAGCTAAGTTTCATTGAACTAGACATAGCTTTGGCTTTAAACCAAGATAAAATGAGCGATCCTGGAGAAAAGATCTCCTATACCTTCTGCCAACTTTTGTCTGATAGTTGCCTAATTTCAGTGCTATTTTTTGGGTGTAAAACTGACTCTCTCTATATAAACTCAAAACGCATGTACTACAGATGGACTTTCAATGACACTTCGTAGAATGATCATGAGTTTAAGTAGAAATTGTCTTTTTACTCTTTCATGTTAATAGAATTTTGTTTCAGCCTTGCCTTTGGATCTGAAATCCTAGGAAATACAGTGGAAAGAATTCTGTGGTGAGAATCATTAAACACTGAGTCTGGTTCAGCGCTGCTTCCTGTTACTTGTGTGACCCTGGACAGGCAAACCCAGCCTCCCTGGCTCTGATCCCTCCTCTGTTAAATGAGGGATTTGGATTGACACGAGTACTTCTCAAACTTTAGTGAATCTTCTGGGGATGTTGTTAAAATGCAGTATGTATTCACCAGACCTGGGGTGGGGCCTGAGACTCTGCATTTCCAACAAGTTCCTAGGTGATACTGATGCTGCTGGCTCAGGATCGCACTCCAATTAGGCCACCCTCCAAGGTGCCATCATGCTGTAAGCTATAACAACTACCAAATAAAGAAAAGCATTATGTCAACAATGGATAACAATAAATACTTATTTTAGAAAATAAATATAGCTTTTTCTTTTTTTGAAACAGGGTCTTACTTTGTCACCTAGGCTGGAGTGCTGTGGCATGAACACAGCTCACTGCAGCCCCGACCTCCAGGGCTCAGGTATCCTCCTGCCTCGGTCCCCCAAGTAGCTGGGACTACAGGTGTGCACCACCATGGTTGGCTAATTTTTGTGTTTTCTGTAAAGACAGGGTTTTGCCATGTTGCCCAGGCTGGTACAAATATAGCTTTAGTTTTCTGTTTGTAAAAGTAATGCATGCTTACGAAAATTGTTCTTAAAAAAATCACATAGGCCGGGCGCGGTGGCTCACGCCTGTAATCCCAGCACTTTGGGAGGCCGAGGAGGGCGGATCACGAGGTCAGGAGATCGAGACTATCCTGGCTAACACGGTGAAACCCCGTCTCTACTAAAAATACAAAAAATTAGCCGGGCGTGGTGGCGGGCGCCTGTAGTCCCAGCTACTGGGGAGGCTGCGGCGGGAGAATGGCGTGAACCCAGGAGGTGGAGCTTGCAGTGAGCCGAGATCGCGCCACTGCACTCCAGCCTGGGCGACAGCGAGACTCCGTCTCAAAAAAAAAAAAAAAAAAAAAAAAAATCACATACCATGCAATGACAGTAAAAATCATCCCAAGTTTCATACCACTTGAACTAATGTGCTCTATTGTCACTTGGCTATGAAGAATACAAGTGCTAGGTTTCAGTATTGGCATCGTATTACCTTGTCTTTTAAAATCAGGTTGTGAAACTGGTATCTTTTTCAATTTGTTGCCAATCAGTTATGCGTTAATTGATTTGAATTCAGTTCCTTCTGTTGTGGTAGATTTGCTTCTGTATCGTATGATTTCAAGTTGCTCATTGCCTGAATTCAGGACAGGGTAGTGGGTGGCTTTCTGGGGCCATCTCAGGCGGGCTGAATTGACCTGAAGATGGCAATAAGAGAAAAAAGCCAAGTAAATATCAAGAACAATTTTTAGCATAAAATTCAGTGTTAAGATTCATTGAGAGCTAATCAATAGAAACGAAGGTTCTGTAAATACATCCATCTTATGGGAATAACTTAGGTCATAACCATTGTTGGCAAAGGAGGAAATTTTTCTTAGTTCCTCTGCACTTTCCCCAATGATATTAATGTTACACCTCTTTGATCGTACTTGAAATGATTGTAATAATAACGAGAGCCGTAAGAGTTTGTTGGTCATAAAAACATACAACATTTTAAGAACTTTATTGGGTTTTTATTGACATATATAACTATTAAATATAAGATTATAGACCCCAAATATCAAATTAACTTTAGCATTTACAATTTTCCTTTGTCTCCTCTAAGCAGCCACAATTTCCAATGTAGCACATAATGAGGTCATCATAGTTGCAAATCTATATCTTCATATTGT
This sequence comes from Homo sapiens, assembly GCF_000001405.40. Lineage (NCBI taxonomy): Eukaryota > Metazoa > Chordata > Mammalia > Primates > Hominidae > Homo > Homo sapiens. Next base: position 161,278,124 of record NC_000006.12, on the reverse strand, counting down.
ATAACTTGAGAACATTTTTAAACTCAGTGTATAGGTTTGTGTGGATGTTGTATCAATGTTCACAACACGAGGCAAGTGGAAATAAAGCAAAAATACTGTTAATGTGTAATAACATTGTGCTAACAGAATGGGCAATTTGTAACAATGCCATCAGTGACTCCACTATCTAGCACAACAGTTAATACATAGTGTGTAAGTTCACATTTCAGATAAGTGATAGTTATCATTTTAAGTACCAAAACTTAGGTTTAAAGAAGTTTCTGAGATATGCAGAATTCTACCTCTCACTGGGCTTTGAAAATATGTTACTCCTCAGGACTCACCGTGTCGTAAGCATCACTGATTATTGTTTATGTCTGTTCTAAATTGCAGAAACAGTTTCAGAAACCTAGGTTATTTGGTTTTTAGTCCTAATCTTGTTACTGTAAAAGTCACACGTGTTCATCCATTGTAGAAAGTTCTCCAAAGTGCAATCACATATAAAGAAGCAAATAAAAATCATCCTCAATCTCACTCTCCAGAAGTAATGATTATTAACAGTTTCATGATCTTCATCACACTGCATTAAGTTTCCCAGAGCTGCCATCACAAATTAGCACAAACTGTGTGACTTAAAACAACAGAAATTTATTCTCTTACAGTTCACGAGGCCAGGAATCTAAAATTAAGGCATCAGCAGGGTTGGGTCCTTCTGGAGGCTCTCAGAGAGTCTGTTCCATGCGTCTCTCCTGGTTTCTGGTGTTTGCCAGCAATCTTTGATTCATAGACACATCATTCCCATCTCTACCTCCGCCATCACATGGCCTTATTCTATGTGTGTGTCTTTCTGCATCCTCTCCTCTTTTTATAAGGACACCAGGTATTGGGTCTATAGCCCATCCTAATCCAGAATGACTTCGTCTCAGCTGATTAACATCTGCAAAGACTCTGTTTCTAAACAAATTCATATTGTGAGGTTCTGGGTGAACATGAATTTGTGGGGGACACTGGGGGACACTTATTCAACCCACTACACACACTGTAATATATATTTATAGAATCACGAAAACGGGACCATAATTTATATAAAGCTTAGTTCCCTTTACACTTAAGATACCATGAATTTCCCTAGGTCTTTCAAACACAGAATTTTAATTTTTTGTAGAGTGTTTCATCATATGAAGATTACATCATTTCCATAGCTAACCTGCTACTTCAAACACTCAGATGGTTTCCAGACTTTACTATTATAAATGGCTCTGATGAATATACATGTTCCCAAATCTTTGAATTTATCTCTGCTTATGTCCTTGGTATAAATTATTCTGAGTCGAATTATTGGATTAAGGGGTATGAACATTTTAAAGGCTCATGAAAAATCTTCTTTAATTGAATTCCAGAGATTGTATCAATTTGCCATCACCAGCAGAAGAGAGAACCCATGGCATTGCATTCTCTGCACTGCACGTTCTAGCTTTTTGAGTGTTGGACAAGTGACTAGGCAAAGAAATAACATCCTTACTTTGTGACTTGTATTTTTATGTAAGGTTGCCTCTTTGTTTACGGACCACTTATATATCTTTTTTAGGTTACCAATTTATGATTTGTGTCTCCTTTTCAATTTTTTTCTCCTCTCTCCAACTGCCAGTATTTATTTCTTACCATCTCACGGATGAGTATACTGTCCACCTCCACCCCTTTTAGAGTCCACTGTTAGCTAAGAAACTATGTAGATGTATCCTCCCTCTCCTTTTCCCATTCTCGAACCACCTCTGAATCTTGTACAAATGTCAATCATTGCCTCCATTGTGTCTTAACTGTTTACATTTCGCTTTCCCTTCTAAGACTTTGAGCACTTTGGGGCCATTTCCATGTCTTATCTGTGTTTTTGTATCTTCAGCAACTAACATGGATGCTCAATAAACATACATTGAACTGAGTTGTTACGTTGTGACCTGGAAATATTCACAATTCCTTGTATAGATAGAAATAGCTAAATAAGGGCACATAAGGATAGACTCTAAATGGCACTCAATAATGTGCATAGGGCTGGGCGTGGTGACTCCCTGCCTGTAATCACAGCACTTTGGGAGGTGGAGGTGGATCACCTGAGGTCAGGAGTTAGAGACCAGCCTGGGCAACATGGTGAAACTTCGTCTCAACCAAAAACACAAAAAATCAGCTGGGTGTGGTAGTGTATGTCTGTAATCCCAGCTATTTGGGAGGCTGCAGCACGAGAATTGCTTGAACACAGGAGGTGGAGGTTGCAGTGAGCTGAGATCGTATCATTGCACTCCAGCCTGGGCAACAGAGCAAGACTCTGTCTCAAAAAAAAAAGCATAGGATTTAATCCATGAATTTTGAATTTCTATGTTAAATTTTTAGAAATAGTAACTTTTTCTCCCATATTTCTCAGCTATATCTGAGATAACTGGGACTGAGCAACATTGTCTAGACAGGCAAAGTGTTAGCAATAATAAGTATAATAATAATTGTAATGTAATAATGGAATGAGGATGTTAAAGTACTGAGATCAGGATAAAAGTTACAATTGTCCAAATTTTAAATTTCCTATCATTTCCACTGAAATCACTGACTGTACTTATAACATTATCAGGAATTTATGCAATTTGTAGGTTTTGAAATAAATTACCATTCAGAATTCAACCGTGAAAAACAGTGTAACTCTACTTGAAAAACACTTTGAAAAACTCAAGTTTCCACCAAATCTAGAAGCACATGGGTCGTAAAACATAGTTCGAAAAGTTACGAGAGATGATGACTACAAGGAACTTTTTATAAAAATCTTTTATAAGCATTACTCTGTGGTCAAATTTATTTTCACATGGATATTAAAACAAGTTATTGCTACAAATGGGTTTCTGTTCTGATCCTTTTTTTGTTTGCCTCACATATCCTTTCTCTTCCACCACATTCTGCTTCACTCTCCCCGTCTCTCATCACAGACAAGAAAAATGCCACCTCCCATAGGACCCACTCCAAACCCTGTTTCCTGAATGATCAATGCCTTCCCCCATCGCAATCAAAAAAGCACTTTCTATTCTGTCTTCATGACACACTGGTTTTGACACTTGCATAGCTGTTAGTAATTCTGCAATGTGCTTGGGCTATTTGTGAGCACATGTATTTTTCCTTTATAGATTATAAACATCTAAAGAACAAGGTTAACCCAGGAGTCAAGTAAATAGTTAAATATTATTTTGACAATGGCTGTAATAGTGGACATTTGAAAGGAATACACCTCAGTATTTTGAAATTGAAATAATTTTCTAGATCCTGGCATTTCTGGACTTTCAACAGCCCACCCTTTTTAAAAATTGTGAAGACACTTTTACTATAAAGGTCTGCCCAGACCCTCTCTGATACACCTGTGTAAATGCCACGTGCATGTGAGCATGCGACAGTACGTGTGTGCACGCCTGTGCAGTGGTAATCAACCATGGTGCTAAGGTTTGAAAACAGAAAATACATCAATCGACCTCCAAGCTTCTTTCATCCCACTTCATAACATCTCAATCTCTTGAGTGCTGAGGCTTATTTTGTTTAAGATGATTTGGACTCTTCTGAGTGCAACGCAATCTCCTTCCAGCACAGCGGACCGAGGAGAGGTGAGGGGAGAGTTTTGAGGGTGGGCATATTGATCCTACGCTTGCTGAATTAAAAATGAGCCAACTGAGGACAATTTCCAGGTTGCAACACAGACGGAGCCGGAGTCTGGGTTGAGGTTAGAGGAGCCGTTAGGGCGCAGGGATGCAACAGGATTTGGGAGAAAGGGGAGAGAAAGCAAGGCCACTTCCAGGGGGCTTTCATTTTTTTTTTATCCTGGCAGCTTCCCGAGCCAGATTTCAAAAGCGATTTCAAACGTGAAGCCAACTGAAGCACTGCCTTACACTAATTGGAAGGGGAAGGGAGTGACTCATATTACACCAGCTCGCTCTTCCCTCTCGGCAACTGCTAACTTGTAGCTTTAAAAGGAAGTGACATGGGTGGGGAGAGACGTCAGCTGAGGACCACTTTTTTTTTTTTTTTCTTCCTGAAGGGTCCACCCCATGGGTGGAGTCTCGCTTTTTCTTTCCAGTGTTGGCTGACTTACAGCTCTTATAAACTAGTGGCAATTTCTGAACCCAGCCGGCTCCATCTCAGCTTCTGGTTTCTAAGTCCATGTGCCAAAGGCTGCCAGGAAGGAGGTATGTGGTCCTGGTGCCGTTCGCAGGCACCTTCCCCGCTGGGTGTGGCTGATGTTTGCATTCCTCTTCCCAGCATATTTTTCTCTCCTGGGCTGGATTTCCTTAGGACCTCTGGAAGGGGTAGGCTCCGGGGGCGGGGGGGGAGTGCAAGGCGGGCGGGGGAAAGGTGCAGGGGGCGCCTGGAGGGAGGCGAAGAGAGGCTCTGCTGGTACAAAAGGACCCTCGCTTTGTGCTGGGCCGGGTGAGCGTCCCTTTCTGGGCTGTGATTTCAAGCTGCTGTTCCTGGCTTCATTTACCCACCCACCCAGCCCCCTCCCGGGGCTAAAGCATTTTCTCTGCTATAGACGAAGCTGGGCGGGGGGTGGTGGTGGGGGGAATGTTCCTATTACATATTGCTCTCTTTTGTGTCATGCAACATGTTCTTCCGTCGCTGACGTTTCTATGGCAACCACAAAAATACTACACAATATGCAGCCCCGATATACATTGATTTATTTGTATTTTGTGTCTAGTTTGCAGCTTTCTGCTCTGCTTCTTGCTTTGGTTTGCTAAAATCCAGCATGGCTTGTGGCTACCCCTCCTCACTTTCATTTTGGTTTTTCCCTATCACAGGAGGGGTGGGGGAGGGGAGTTGTCAAGGAAACAGGCATTGGTAATTACCTCTCTATTTACCTAATTTTCGGCCTATGAATTTCTCCATATCGAGGAATTAAAAAAAGAATGCTTTGATGTTTATGTAAGTCTTCAGTGTCTGGTCTTTTTTTAGAAAACCTAAACACTTCTTAAGATAAGATATTGATCCTGTGGTCAAGCTAAGGGGGAATTAATTCCTTACAGGAGGTGAGATCATTGAAATAAAGTTTTAGAGAGCATTGGAGAATTCGCACTGATAAATGTGATATTGCCTGCCCAGGTTTGCCTAAAAGCTTAAATATTTAAAAGATGGGTCTTTGCTCTCATCTGCACTTATTTAGCTCCAAATCTTAAGTTCAACAAGTATGAGTAACAAATTAACTGCCGGGCAGGATTCTCCGTTTTTCGTTTTCGTGCATTGTTCTTAGATGGATTAGCCACGCTATTCACTCTCTTCAAGGTGAGGGTTGCTAGACTTTTTCAAAACTGTGGAAGGATTAACTCATCTGTGATTAGTCAACGACTCTCAGTTGGAAAAAAAGTATCTTGAGAGAAGGGAGAATGTGTGTGTTTGTGTGTGTGTGTGTGTGTGTGTGTGTTTAGGGAAATGGGAGGCGGGCAGGGAGAACAGGGCACATCTTGAGTTCTACGTTAAAAGGATTCCATCTTCTGAATATTCTCTATGGGGAGAAAAACTGTTATTCAGAAAAAATATGAAATGAGAAAATTATTATCTACTTAGTAATAAGCAAAGTTAATTATAATTAGAATCAAATAACACATCTCTTAGAAAGACATAGCCTCTTAACAGGTACCGGCTAAACTGATGCTTTTATTCAGTACGTCTAAGGAAGCGTTTGATAAGGGATACCATTCTTCTGATGGGCATCCCAAATAATTAGCTTTTATAAAATAGATAAGTAGTAATCCCATTCATGACTCTTAAAATTATCTATAATTTAAGATAAACATGTGTGAAGGTCACTTAGCCCTCATACCTTCCGGCTGCTAAAGCCAAAATCATTACTTATAAACCTTGAGCAACCCTGCCATGTGGAAGCAGGAAGAATGGGTGGTTTCAGTGAGGTTCTGTTTGCTGTGATCCTTATCTAAATATGCTATCATCTATGTCTTATCAAATCTGCTATAAATCCAGAGGTCCTAAGTAATTCAGGTAGAAAAGTTACCTGAAAATGGGGCAAAATAGCATGGCACAAAACAAACCAGAGCCACATGGAGTTAAAGACGAGAACTATTTAAAGGGCATAACACACAGAAAAGTATTACTAAAAAGAATATGACACTCATTTTGAAAAGCACATGTTAGTACACAGAGAAACGGTTGGATTGTGAGCATCTGATGTTTGCAAAGAATTCTGAAAAGCAGCCAGGCTGAAATTACTGTTTTTCCTGTCTGAAAATGGTCCTCAAGGGCAGATTTGCCACATGACCTTCCAAAGCAGATTGACAGCATGTAAATCAAAGTCTGCGATGTCGGTTCTCTTGAGTTTCCAGATTCAAAATTTCACAGCAAAAAGCCTAATGGAATAGAACTGAAAGGAAAAAGAGCAAGACTTCCTCAGAAGCACAGCCAAAACAAAAACAACAAAAAACCCAAACCCAATAAACAAACAAAACACTGTCTGATATTCAGATGCTGAGTAGAGGTTAAAGCAGTTAGCAGCTTTGGCCTAGGGAAGGTAAGTGGAGCTGTGAGTATAAAGTAAACGTAGGGTCCCATGGAAGAGGCTGACAGAGGTGACACCCAGAGGGTGAGTCAGCCGTCATTTTATTGGGATTTTACTGTCTGCAAGGCTCTGCTGTGAAGTTGGTGAAGAAGGCAGCAGTTGTAGTCTGTGCTCTCAAGCTTAAAATCCACCAAACGGGTGGCGAAAAGAAGAGCAGAGCACCCAGCTGGAAGGAAGGGGGAGGCAACAGCCAGTCAAGGAGACGCAATTAGTATGAGAAGAATACTAGAGAGTCTTCATCCTGCTGCTGAAGCTTTATAGGAGAGGAGGCAGACGGTTCAAGGGAAGAAGGAGAGGGTGTCTTAGATAGCAAAGGTGGATGGTAAGAAATGGATCATGGTTCAGGGTTCTTAACTCCAAGAAGGGAGAAGTCAGTCTTTAGTATAGAAGTAGAGCAGGTATACTCTGTGCTGGTTGAAAGCATAAGTAGATGTAAATTGGGGACAGAAGTTTTTCTTAATCAGAAAAAGAAGGACTGTTAGAAGACTGAACAGAAGGCAGAATCCTTCCTAATCCAATACTTTTTTAGCTTCAGCTTAACAACGAAAGGCCAGACTTACACTAGACTTTAAACAGGTATGAAACTGGGGAAGACGCAACCAGGAACTTACCCGGAATGTCATCTTCATAATTCCTGCCATTGCCATTGTTTTAAATTATTGGATGCTCAAATGAGGGTTTGGTAAATGTCACACGTTTTGTGCAGTCTCCTTTATTCTGGAAAGGAGGTCTGATGGTTATGGGACAAAGCCGCATTCACATTTATTTTTTTTTTGAGATGAAGTCTTGCTCTGTCGCCCAGGCTGGAGTGCAATGGCGTGATCTCGGCTCACCACAACCTCCCCCTCCTGGATTCAAGCGATTCTCCTGCCTCAGCCTCCCGAGTAGCTGGGATCACAAGCATGTGGCACCACGCCCAGCTAATTTATTTTTTATTTTTTTGTATTTTTAGTAGAGATAGAATTTCACTGTATTGGCCAGGCTGGTCTCGAACTCCTGACCTCAGGTGATGCACCTGCCTTGGCCTCCCAGAATGCTGGGATTACAGGCGTGAGCCACCGTGCCTGGCCCACATTCACATTTCTGAATGGTGTTTGACCTCTAAATCTTTGGTGAAACGCCTTTCATCACTCCTATTTTGAAATATAATCATAATAATCATGTAACATTTCCTAGAGCTTGGGCAACTCAAATTCATTATTCTTTGTGTGAGAATCAGTTTGGAAAGGAAGCGCTGGAACTCTGAAACCTGGCTTCATGCATGGGCTTGGGAAGGTCTGCAGTGGCTGCCAGGCTGTAGGAAAGAGGAAGCTTAAAGCATGAACTCTTTCTTCAACAGCTGTTTATTACGTGTTTAATAGGTGTCAGGTCCCACAGATGCAACTGTGAGCAAAACAAGATACAGTTTAAATAGTTATAGTTTTCAAATGGGTTTACAAGGGAAACCCCATGACTGGCAGATACCCATTTTCTTCTAATGACTGAATAAGAGGAAATATCTTAAAAGGAGTATAATTTGTTTCAACATTGTCATGGAACAATCCATCTACCTGTCTTCTTTTCCTTGGCACACTCTTGCTCCACAAAGATTTCCCATTGGTTTCATTGTTTGTCGTTATCTTGTTTCTCCGATCTAATTTGCTCTACTTCTTCCTTTGATCCTAAGTCCTACCTTTCAGTCACCATTCCTTCATCCATTCACACATACATGATACATCCATCTGTCCTCTATCCACCCCCAATCCCTTCATTTATTCAACAAATAGTGTTGAGTATCATGTCTCAGGCACTGTATATTATAGATATAGCAATAAACGGGAAACTGGTTTTTCCTTAAAGAAGCTTAAGAACTATCAGGAAGACAATGTGGAGACAGCCTCTAAACCATGGGGGTATGACTTTTTTTGGGGGGTGGGCAGGGTCTCGCTCTGTCACCCAGGCTGGAGGGCAGTGGCGCCATCATGGCTCACTGCAACCTCTAACTCCTAAGCTCAAGCATCCTCCTGCCTCAGCCCCCCTCCCCCAGCAGCTGGGACTGCAGGCGTGAGCCACCGCGCCTGCCCTGGCGGTATCACTTCTAATAGAAGCATTTATTGGCCAATGAAACAGGATACTTCTTTCATTGAACAATTTTATAAATTGTTCACACACAGCATAAACTGTGCTGGGCAGGGAGGGATCAAGTGGTTAGCTGTTGACTGTTGTCCATTTTATATATTTTTTGTACCTTCCATGCTGGTTGAGCATAAGGATGGTAAACATTTGTTAATTAACTAAATGGGAAGAGTGGAATTTCTAACGCAGGAGACACAGAGGAAGAGAAGGCTTGTGTATTCTCTTTCTGAAAGAACAATCTGAGAGAGAGAATCTCTCAAGGTTCCCATTCATAGTGAATTACTCATAGATTTCCAGGTGACAACAGCTCCCCCCACATCGACTCAAAGTATAGCATTTTAAAAAAGAAAAACTACCTGCGTCCAATTACATACCCATTAGTTCACTGAATATCCTCATGTCCTTTGGAGCTGATTTCCCATAATACACTGCAAGTCTCTGTCTTGTTCTGATAAAAACAAGTGGGTTTCAACCCCCTACAGCTTTCTTAATAGTAACAGCAGTGCATCCAGAAACTAGTGGTGGCTCTAGAGACCCAACACGAACAGTGTTGAGACCTCGTTGCAGCACTTTCTCTGTGTTTTCTGATGTCATGAAACTCTTCTTAGTAGAATTATTTTCCCCCACTTAAGTTCCACCGTCAGCCTGGAAATTATATGGACAACATGACAAAGTTCCTCTGGAAAACCACACTCCTCTGCTTGGCTGACCTTGGGAGAAAACATTTAGCAAGTTCTTCTTTTTCTTGGTTATTTTAAACTCAGATGATATCAGCATGAAGCTGTTCCTAATAACTCTGGTTGGCACGGGCATCTCTGCTCTGTTTAGGTTAAACATCATAACTACTTCATGGTCATTTCTGTGTGGGATCCTCCAAGACGAGAGGTGCATTTTGAATTTTATGTTAGTTTGAAGCCAGACACTAAAATTCCTGTAAGGAGAGGGGAACAACACACACCAGGGCCTGTTGGAGAGTGGGGTGAGGGGAGGGAACTTAGAGGATGGGTCAGTAGGTGCAGCAAACCATCATGGCACACGCATACCTATGTAACAAACCTGCACATTCTGCACATGTATCCCGTTTTGTTTTTTTATAGAAGAGAAAAGAAATTCTTGTAGGAGATGATGCCTCAGTCTAGTTTATGCCAGGTAACCTGCAGAGGTCATTAGAGACACTGAGGTGACTGGCTGACTTACAGGATATGCAAGAATGATGACAGCCTGCCTTCACTGAGGGCCTCCTATGTGCCAGTACATGGACTTCACATTTATTAACTCATTTTAGCCTCATAACAAAGCTAGTGTGTGAAAACTCTCATCGTGCTCCATTTTACAGAGAGAGAAAGTAAAGATGAGGGAGATTAAGCAGCTCAGCTAGGTCATAAGAAGGAGCAGAGCTGAGACGTTAACCCAGATCATCTGGGCTCTGCTTTCCCCTGTACCTTCACACCTTGCCATGGCATATTCCACAGTCTGTCTCCCATGCCCAGTGCAGAGCCTGGCACATAACAGATATGTGGTAAATTTATTTTTTAGTTTTGTTTAAAATGTTAAAAGTGAGACTGGTCTTTCTTTTAAGAGGCCAGTCTCACTTTGTTGCTCAAGCTGGCCTTGAATTCCTGGGCTCAAGCAATCCTCCCGCTTCAGCTTCCCAAGTAGCTGGGACTACAGGTGTGTACTAACATGCCCAGCTAATATTTTTCTTTTCTTTTTTTTTTTGAGACAGAGTTTTGTTCTTGTTGCCCAGGCTGGAGTGCAATGGCGCAGTCTTGGCTCACTGCAACCTCTGCCTCCTGGGTTCAAGCGATTCTCCTGCCTCAGCCTCCTGAGTAGCTGGGACTATAGGGGTGCGCCACCACACCTGGCTAATTTTTTTGCGTGTGTATTTTTAGTAGAGACAGGGTTTCCCCATGTTGGCCAGGCTGGTCTCGAACTCCTGACTTCAAGCAATCTGCCCAGTGTGGCCTCCCAAAGTGCTAGGATTACAGATGTGAGCCACTGCGCCCGTTCCCCAGCTAATATTTTTCAAATAATGAACAAATCTCTACCGTGTAGACCTCTGCATGCCTTTCATCCCAGTTGTTAAGAACAGCAAAATTACTGCAAGAAAGGGTAGTATTTTAGAATTTGGAGAAAAACTAACAGCAGTACTTTATAAGACAAGCTACTATAGTTTTCAGGGAGTGTTGTTTTTATTATGGTTTAGCCAGAGATGGTGGGAGAAGGGAAAGGGCCTTGTGATTAAAACCATCTGAGTGACAATGCAGTACATACATTAAATTAAAGATGAACTCTTCTCAAAACCAATGTGTAACCCAGGATTGAACTTGACTGAGCAGCTGCTCTCAAGGACACCTGTGGTGGCTGCTCTCAGAGTTCCCAAGGCGGTGGGTGGATGGAGTCAGAGGCTTTCTGTTCTTCAGTGGACTTTCCACAAATCCACCACGGGGTTTAAAGGCAGATTATTATCTGCAAAGACCCTGCCAGTGCTTATCTTAGATCAACTCTGAAATGAGAATGGGAGACTTGAATTGATCCTGGAGTGAAATTTGGTCTCTTGCCCATCTCCATGGGCTCCTCGTGAGCTGTCAGTCTTCTGTGGGTAGAGGTTAACCGAGGCGGATGAAATTTTAAAGAACTATCTGTCTATGCAAGCACATCTTCTTCCCAGGATACTGCAGCCATCAGCAGACAATCAATGCAATCATCTCAGACTGTGTCCTGCGTCCCAGGAGTAAGTCATCAGGCTCATTTCTTTTCTTGTCTCTTTTCTGCTGGGGGAAGGGCAGGTTGCAAGGCGGATGGTGAGCAGATTCTTCGGCCTTTTGTGTGGGTAGCCTGCATAGGAACCATTTCTATGCCTGTGAGTCCATTTCTAGCATCTGCCTCCAGCCTCTGCTTTCCTGACGCTCTCCCATCACCCCATTCACCCTTCATAAAACAGTCACTCTTTCTAGATGCATAATTACATGCCATGACAATGATTACAGTCCTCTCTTCATAACTGCACTGGGTGCTCATTCATGGCATGGAGGTATGATCGCATCGTTTGTAGCATAGAGCAGAGTACCCAGCACTGAATATGTGTTGTGGCCTAGAGAAGAGATGGGCACAAGAAGTCAGGTCATCAGGGTTGCCTCATCGCTGGCCTCCTGGCCAGGGCCTCAAGGGTGACATTCCTTGAGGGCGAGGTGTTTCTCAATCTCGATGTTGAGATTTTGGGCCCATTAATCCTTTATTGTGGAAGAGGCCAACCTGTGCAGAATCGGATGCTCAGCCACATTCCTGGCCTCTAACTGTTACATGCCAGGAGTAGTCACCCCACTCCTACTTGTGACAGCCAAAAATCCCCTAGAGGGACAAACTTGCCCACAGCTGAGAACCACTGCTTGAGGGGGAATTCCCGGCTCTGTCAGGTACACTCAGGAATCCGGTTGGTCCGATCAAAGCAAACCCATTTCTGAGGACTAATAGGGTCCTAACCAAAGTGGCAATTCATTAATTTAAATGAAGAAATACTTTACATGGGAATTGAAAAATAATAGTAAACCAACTTAAAAGTAGACACGTGGCCGTAAAGTATTCAAATATTTAGTGCTTTCTGCCCTGATAAGTCTGCGTGGGGGTCATGCTGGCACCAAGGCAGCCCGGTGCAGTGAGGAAATGGGCCAGGCTCGGTGGCCTGATAGGACCCCTTCCACACCCAGATCTGTGCAGACAGGCCCTCCTCGTTCCCCTCCCCACCCACCAGCTAAGGGAGCCTCCTTTTCCAAACCTCTCTGGAGTGAACAGATTAACATATCTCAAGAACAAATTGAGAGAGGCACTCACAAACCTGCTCCCACCTGGGGATTTCATTACTGTTTCCTTGACCTTCACAGTGAGTGCTGCGCCCCTGCAGTCCAGCAGTGGGTACTAATCCAGCACCCAGTCCAGCAGTGGGTACTAATCAGCACCCAGTCCAGCGGTGGGTACTAATCCAGCACCCAGTCCAGCGGTGGGTACTAGTCAGCACCCAGTCCAGCGGTGGGTACTAATCCAGCACCCAGTCCAGCGGTGGGTACTAGTCAGCACCCAGTCCAGCGGTGGGTACTAATCAGCACCCAGTCCAGCGGTGGGTACTAATCCAGCACCCAGTCCAGCGGTGGGTACTAATCAGCACCCAGTCCAGCGGTGGGTACTAATCCAGCACCCAGTCCAGCGGTGGGTACTAATCAGCACCCAGTCCAGCGGTGGGTACTAATCCAGCACCCAGTCCAGCGGTGGGTACTAATCAGCACCCAGTCCAGCGGTGGGTACTAATCCAGCACCCAGTCCAGCAGTGGGTACTAATCCACCACCCAGTCCAGCAGTGGGTACTAGTCCACCAACCAGGTCTCACTAGTATTAATTTGCCTCCTAGCATCCATCCCCACAGTTGCTGGTATTTCAAGCCTTTCTTTCCCTTTCCGTCCCTGGTGCTTCTCACTTACAGGAGGGGCCACCTTTACTTCCTTCCCAGGACCAGCACCCTGCCCTGCCTGAAGTTAGGCTTCAGCTCCCCAGCCCTGGGGGACTCTAGGGGTCCCATAACTAGTCCTGGGTGACCCTAGGGGTTCCATAACTGCTGTGTCCCTCCCTTTTATCTTCCCATCTCGCTTCTCCCTTCTCGCTTTCAGGCTCTCAAAGGTCAACAGAAGTGGGGTCAGTTATTCCAACTCCCCACCCAACTCCAGAATCCCCTTTCAGCGTTTCTTAGGGAGCCCGTGCATTCAGCCCGCAGGAATACAAAGAGGGAGCCGACCCTGCAAGTGCCTTTGAGGAGCCTGCTGCCCAGAGGGCAAGACGGAAGCCTCAGCGAGGGGTTCCCACGCAGTGGATAAGACTTGCAGGGCAGGGATGCGCGGGCACGCCAGGGGGACCACCTCACCACCCCTGCCCAGTCTGGGCTTCCTAAAATACTTCCTAGAGAAGAACAGCCCCCACGTTAGGTCTGGAAGTGGGGAGTATTGGTCCCAGTGTGCACGCTTCTCACGGAGTGCCAGAGACCAGAGGAGTGGGCCAGTGGGTGAGGTGGGACAGGGCAGGAGGCTGGAGTTTTCCTAGACCACAGAGGAATGAGGTGGGCTGGCGTGGCAGGAAGCAGAGAGAGGCTGAGCATCCTGCAGCTCTGGGAGGGGAGGCCCAGAAGAGGCACAGGTCTGAAAGCCAGGAGGGTTTGGTAACTTGTTGTATGGAGGGTGTCTTTGACGCCCTGAGATAGTAAATATAGGGAGAAAGAAGGTCACTTTCCAATCATATTCTTCCCAAATGGTCACTTATCATATTACACCTTATAAGGTGATCATTTATGTACTTTGTAATCAACATGTGTTACGCAGCACTTACTAGAAGCTGTCTGCTTTGTATAACACCTCATTTCAGCTTGCCCCCAGCCCTGTGGGTTGCCAATTATTTTCTCTAATCTAATTTGAAACTGAGGCACAGAGAGGTTAACTAACCCTCCCAAAGCCACAGAGCTAGCAATGCCTGAGCACACTGTGATTTTACTAAATATTGTAACAGAATTACATGGACTTGCATTTCATATTCTTGCCTTTCCTGAAATTTTCCTGAATTTTCTTTTAGGGTGAAAAGACTTCCCATTGTTTCAAAATGTGCAGAAACTTCCCATCACAGCCCCCCAAATCATGTGGAAATCTGGAAGTTACTTAAGACCAGATGATGTAATGAAGATGTTGTGGGGGTCACTGAAATCCTCATTTGGACTCCATCTCTAGAGGAATAATAGGGTTAAAGTTTGAGAGGAGGTCGGGGGAGAGGACCAGAGAGATATTTTAAATGTGCCTAATTCTTTTAATTATTTATATTCATTCCAATTTTTGCCACATTAGGACTTATCTCCTGCTTTCCATTCCTTCTGTCTTCCCCAATGGCTGAACTGTTGTCTTTTTCTTGTTTGTTTTTGTTTTTCGAGAGAGTCTCGCTCTGTTGTCCAGGCCAGAGTGCAGTGGCATGATCTTGGCTCACTGCAACTTCTGCCTCCCGGATTCAAGCAATTCTCCTGCCTGAGCCTCCCCAGTAACTGGGATTACAGGTGCCCGCCACCACACCCAGCTAATTTTTTGTATTTTTAGTAGAGACAGGGTTTCACCATGTTGGCCAGGCTGGGACTACAGGCATGAACTACTGCGCCCAGCCTGTTGTTTGTCTTTTTAAAGAGAGCCTGGTCTTCAGCAGCTTCTATATAGCTTTCCTCACCGGGGGAAATGCACCTTCCTTAAGCATCCAAGGTGGCTGGGAATCTTGGTGGTGGGGTGGGGTGGGGCAGGCAGGTGTGAGAAACACCCCGCCCACCGCCGCCGAGAATATGTCTGCCTTTGCTCTTTTTCCTTCTCTGTCTCTTCTGATGGTCTGATGGGTGGATGGAGGGTGGCTTGGGTCTGTCTCTTCTGCCTCTGGTCACTCGCCTTGGTGGGCCTTCCCTCGCTTTCTCTGGAATAGCCCAGGGCTTGCTTTGCTCCTCCTGGCCTCTCTTCCTCGGTCATTCCCTGCAGACAAGGACTGGCCACCTCAGCTCTCACGGCTCGCTGGCATCTTTCATCAGCACTGTTTATGACGTTATCCTCATGTTCTCCTAGAGGTTTTTTTCACTGGAGTTATCTTTTGAACTCAAAACAAAAGAGGCGTGTGAAATGTACCAGTTCAAGTCCCAAGAAGCTACCCAAAGGGTGCCCCTCACTATGAGGGTCTCACTCCCCCGTGGGACTGAAGAATAATCGGACCCAAACCTTCTGAGCAAAGGAAGAAGTGGGGTAGAGCTTGCAGTGGGTCAGAAGGGGAGAACTCAGCCCCTAAGAGCCCCAGTAAGCCTGTGTTTTTACAATAAGATGTGGAAGGAGGAACTCTAGGCTGGGGACTTTGCCCAGGGACAAGCAAACCAAGTTTTATTTGCTATGAGAGAATAATGAGGAGGGGGAAAAAAAAAAGGAATGAGCTAGTATAGAGCCAGCTGTGGAAGAGTTTGGGGTTTGGGGAGCTCACACACAGCAGTGGGAAGTAGCCCCTGTGTGGCAGGGACAGACGCGGCAGCTGGCCACCATGGCTGCAGCTCCATCACGCTTTTCAGGTCCTGGCAGCAGAGTCTAACCCATGTTCTCAACATTGCCTGCACATGAGGATCACCTAGGAAGCATTTTAAAAAGGACTTCCTGGGCCCCACCTTGGACCAACCAATTCAGGCTCATTTTTTTTTAAGTTCTATAAATGATTATGGGCTGAGAGGACTGGAACCTCAGGATAGAAGGAGGGTGGCTAGCCAGAAGAGGGTGACTTTGAAAAAAAAGAAACCCAGAGCCAGGGCCCAGGCTGTGGTGATGGCACAGTGATGATAATGATGACCACAGCGACATTTAAGATGATGTACCAGGCAAAGGTCTACGGATAATCCTCACCACCAGCCCTCGACTAGGAACTCTTCTTATCTCCATTTCACAGATGGGGAGCCTGGGGGTCAGCAGTCTTCCCAGGGCTGCACAGCTCATACAGGCAAACTGGGTCTCTGGCCCAGGAGCCCCTACCCAGGTGTGAAGGTCAATGCCTGTTCACTCTCCAGCCTCTTTGGATATGCAGCATTCACAGCTCTGTGCTAGGAAAATGCAGTCAGAAGCCGAAGGTCCACTCATAAAGAAAGAGAAAAGGAATAAAGAGGGCAAAACCAGGTGGAGGAAACCCCCTTACAAACATGTATTCCTAGAAAAGAGGTAGAGCTCAATTACTGACTTGTCCCATGTCAAATGTAGCTTACAAACACTACATGATTAGCTGGATTTGTGGAAGGTAAAATATCCCTCCGTTGGCTTTGTTAATGATGATGCCTTACCCGGTCTCAGGGTAGCAGCTACGTCCCTCTGACAGGTCCCATCATGAGTCAGCCGTGAGCCGGGCGTTTCCCTGGAGCAGTGTGGTGAATGTGACTGACCATTCAGTTCATTCATTCTATGGATATTTATTAACCACCTCTCATGCCAGGTCTGTGCTGGGAGCTGTGGATATGATGGTGAAAGACACTCAGCTCCTGAGGAAGCCTGCTTCGTGGGATGGCAGATATACACACGAAGGGAAATAGCACTTGTCAACGTCATGTGGCCCAGGACTGTGCCGGGTCTTTTCTGTTGTTTGTCTCATGGACTCGTGCAGTCAGTAAGTGGCCACATTCTGTGACAGTGAGCTTCATGGCTAATAGAGAAGGGGCCATGAGAAACAGGGAAAGATGCACCTGACTGTTCAGCGGGAGGCAGGGAGGAGAAGGAGCTGGCTTAAGCAGGGGTTGGAAGGATAAACACATGTTTGGCAAGTCAACAGTGGGAGAAAAGGGGGAGGGAAGGGCATCAGGCAGGTGGAACGGAATACACGAGCTCGGAGCACCAGAGTGAGCCCTGCTCAGGAAATTCTAGAAGGCGAAGACGTGGTTCAGTGTGCACTCCTCTAAGGAGATTTCCTGACCTCCTCATGGCCCTGCCTGGTGAAATCAGGTGTCCTAACCCTGACGTTTATTTATTTTTTCTTTTTTTTGAGACAGGCTCTCACTTTGTCACCCAGGCCGGAATGCAGTGGCTCAAACACAGCTCACTTCAACCTTGACCTCCCTGGCTCAAGTGAGCCACCTGCCTCAGCCCTCCCCAAGTAGCTGGGACTATGGGTGCACACCACCACACCCAGCTAATGTTTGTATTTTGTGTAGAGAGGGAGTTTTGCCATGTTGCCCAGGCTGAATCCTGTTTTTTTTTTTTTTTTTTTTTTTTTTTGAGACGTAGTCTCCTTTTGTGGCCCAGGCTGGAGTGCGGTGGCACAATCTTGGCTCACTGCAACCTCCGCCTCCCAGGTTCAAGTGATTCTCCTGCCTGCCTCAGCCTCCTGAGTAGCTAGGACTACAGGTGTGTGCCACCACGCCTGGTTAATTTTTAGTAGAGATGGGGTTTCACCATGTTGGCCAGGCTGAACTCAAACATCTGACCTCAAGTGATCCGCCTGCCTCAGCCTCCCAAAGTGCTGAGATTACAGGTGTGAGCCACTGTGCCAGGCCTGGCTTTTTATTTTCAAACCACGCTGCACATTCCAAGAGAGTAGCAGTTAGTCTTGGACTCTACAACTTGAATTTCTTATCTTGCTTTCCTGCAGTTTGACAAGCTCCTTGGGACTGGTCAGTGTTCATTCCCCAGGCTGGTTCTTTCATAAACGCTGTCTGCAGGAATGAAAGGCATCGCCTATGGAAAGGGCTAAGAGGAAGAGGACACTCCCATGTGCGGTGGGAGTAATGGCCCCTCCGTCTTCCTAGCAGTTCACTGAAGCCTGAAGCAGTGAGAGGCTGCTGGATCCCACTGTGCTTTTGTTAAAGCCCTGTCCCCACATGCTGTTCTTGGCTTGTTATAGTGGCACGCAGTTCACTTCCAGAGACTCCCCAGCCCCAAACACGTATAGCGCCAGGTGAATGGAAGTTTCCTCCAGTGCAACTCCTGGATGGGTCTGAGAAGGGAAGCAAGAACCAGGATGTGACTCAATGGTGAACTTACGACTCGGCCCTGGGGGTGCAGCGTGCACATAGATACCATGGAGCTAGGTGCTGACATTGTAAAAAGTGGACCCCTGTCCGGAAGACTTTCATTTTCTTTCGGCAGTTCTTAACTCTCTTCCTTGGTCACATTTGAGGAGTTGCCCTGTTGGTAAGCTCAAGGTGCCACTCAGCCAGAGAGTCCTCCTGGGCATGTGAACTGTGCGGTGACCTGGGACCCCACAGTTGGGGTAAGGCTCTGCTCTCCCTTGTTGAAATTCTTGATAGTTTTTGAAGAAGGAACCCCACATTCTCATTTTGACCAGGCCTGGCAAATGCTGTAGCCTTTCCTGCATTGAGTATAGAGTTAGTGAGTTTTCACACGTGCTGGTAGTGTGGCACATGTGTGAAAACTCACTAACTCTAGACTCAACCAACTCCAGACCGCCCTGCAAAAGACCGGGTGGCTCTACAAAAGTCCGTGATCACCAGCAACTCAAAGCATACGCGCTGCGGACAGCCAAGGTCATATTAGGACTATCTCAGTATAGAAAGGATGATTGGTGCTGTTAAAGCTTCAGGGGTGCAGAGGTCTGTTACATGGCATTGTGACCATAACTAAGAATAATGTGTATTTAAACATTACTAAAAGAATAGATTTTAAACTTTCTCATCATAAGAAAAATAAGTATGGGAAGTGATCGATACGTTAGCGAGCTTCATTTAATCATTTCACGGTGTAAACGTATATCATAACATTATGTTGTACACCATAAATATGTACAATTTTTATTTGTCAATTGAAAAGAATTTAAGGCCGGGTACCGTGGCTCACACCTGTAATCCCAGCACTTTGGGAGGCTGAGGCGGGAGGATCACTTGAGGTCAGGAGTTTGATACCAGCCTTGCCTGTATGATGAAACCCTGTCTCTACTAAAAATACAAAAAATTAGCTGGGCCTGGTGGCGGGCGCCTGTAATCCCAGCTACTTGGGAGGCTGAGGCATGAGAATCTCTTGAACCTGGGAGTGGGGGTTGCAGTGAGCCTAGATTGTGCCACTGCACTTCCAGCCTGGGCGATAGAGTGAGACTCATTCTCCAAAAAAAAAAAAAAATTAAATGCTTGTGGTAAAATAGTCCCCAAGTCTTTCACATCTAGCCATGTGATTAAACTTTCAACCAAGTCTTGCTACAACCTAGCTTGAGTAATGACTCTCTGTGGATGGTGTTTCTGTGTTTTTTGCGGGGAGTGGGGTGGGGAGGAGAAATAAGAACCATCTCCCAACATATATAGGTGGTGAAGTCCAAAGCTGAAGTTGCCCCAGATAAGAGAACTCTCCTGTTTTCTAGGACTGTGAGAGGTTATTGCTCTCTTGTGTCAATTTTAGTTGTGTTTTTTCTTTCTGTATTTTGCTTGTCTTATGATTCAAGACATGAACATAAATATACATTTGAAAATTTCCACCAAGAGGTGGAAAAGTTTATAGATTCAGAGAAGATAACTTTGTACAAAACAAAAGTCTAAAAATGGTTGTTGGATACTCTCAGGTATTTGGAGAATCTGCCAACCCGTTTGCAGGAAATTTGTTTTCAAATGGGAAAGGATAGAACAGCCTGAAGATGGGAGTGCAGTCATTTTGAGTTACTTCCGTTATTGCAGCCAAGGGAAGTCACTTTTTAGGGAAGACAATGGACGTAGAGTTTTCATCTCTGAACTGCCACTCTCAGTCTTTGAGGTCTCATGGAGGAAAAAAAGTGTCATAAGACTGGAGATAAGTAAAATTCCTTGTTTTTAAAAGTTGAGAAGTGTAAATACTAGAACTTTCATTCTGGCACGCAGGAGTTTTTTCCTTCCAAGTGTTTTAACGTAGGAAGTAATAAATGATCCCATGGAGCCAGGATGTGTGCGCCAAAACTAAATCATGTTGAGTTAACCTCACTTATTTCATTGGTACCGTTACTGGGTGAGTCAGTTGAGAAAGTGCCAGAGCAAGGGTGATCCTGTAAAGTAAACATTTGACAGACTGCGTCACCACATCCTTGTGTATATGATGGTGACCTGGGGATTGGGACCAGATGGGTTCATAGCTAATGGAACAACAGAATAAGCTTGTATTCACTTCCATATGAAATAGAAGGTGGGACTAACGCTGTCTTTCCTTTTTTTTTCTTCTCTTTCTCCTTCTTGTCCACATTCCTTTTTAATTTCCATGAAGAAAATTAATTTAAATTGACTTCTCATATTTCAAGAACCCTTTGATCATTTTTTTGATGTTGGATTTCAGCAGTTTTAAAAACTTCTGTCTTCATTTAATTTTTTAATGGCATTACTAAGATATAATTTACATACCATAAATTCACCCATTTTAAGTGTATAGTTCAATGAGTTTTGGTAAATTTGGCGTTGTGTAACCATCACCAAAATCCAGCTTAGAACGCCTCTCTCATCCCAAAAGTCTCCTCATGCCCACAGGATCCATCCTCACATGTGTCTGTAGCTCAGACAATCAGTGATCCAGTTTCTGTGTCTGTAATTTGGCCTTTGATAGGTATTGCCTATGAGTGGGATAATTCACTATGTATTGTTCTGTGTCTGGCTCTGTTCATTTAGCATAATATGCTTGAGATCCACCCGTGGCATGCATGGAGCCGGGACTGGTTCCTTCTTGTTAGTGGTCTTCCGTCCTGTGGCTGTACCATCTCTTGCTTCTTTATTCACCGGGTGATGGATATTTGGAACATTTTAGCATTCATCTAATTTTAAGTTTACTACTTTTATCCTGATCCAAAGTTCATGTTAGAAACAAGTGCTGTTTTCATTGCCACTTTCCCCCCATCTCCAACATCTCATTTAGGGCACAGGAAAATTCTTAGTAAGGACTTAGAGGAAAAGTGAAGACCTCTGCCTCCACGCCCACTGGCTAAGGTGGCTGGTCTGCAGGGAGCTCGCAACAGGCGTCTCCAACGTGATGCCAAAGGCTGACTTTTGGGAAAGTGGAAACTCTCCCAGACCTAAAACTGGAGAAAAGGCACATCCATTCTTGATGCCTGTCTTGTGGGCTTATTCGTCTCCTAGGCAGAATGCATGAAAATTTCAGTGTTGCCAAACTGATGAACCCATTTCTTTCCCTTCAATTATTTATCTCCCCACTGATTTCATTAATTAATGAAGCTTTTGGCAATCCACCAGATTTCTTTCGGGAACGCTCTTTGTCAGTGTCGACTGTGTACAGGCTGCAGGGACCGGGGGAGCCATCAGACGCCGTCTCTGCCTCCCGAGCCTGCTTCAGGGAGGACGTGTCAGCTCCGCTGTGTGGCTATCAGAGGAAGCTGGTTTCATAGCACGAGTGTCATGTCTGTCACGTATTTCAGCCCTGGAACTTCTCCCCACATTTCATGTGAACACAGCAAATGTGTTCATCCATGACACACGGCAGAGAGCAGCGCTGGTGGTGAGGAACATCAGCAGAGTGTTTAATCTCAGCTTTTCAAAGCAGCCTCACAGGAAGGAGAACAAAATATTTGATCCACCGAAGACTTTTCCCCAATCTTAGGCACAAAGCCTAATTCTTCTAGATGGTGGCGGTCGCTGCCGTCACCATGCGTGCCTGGGGTTGATTTCCTCTTGCCTGGGAAACTTAGGGTGTTAGCCAGGTTTTCGTATCCTTCCAGCTTTGCCCATTGCCTATACTCAGGATCCAGGGTAAGGGCCAGTCCTACTTAAGGACCAGTCTCCGAGATCATTTCAGTTGAGGGGGATCTGTTTTACTTCCTGCAAGTGCTGTGGTGGGCAGTAACATCCTGCCAACCGGCCTCGCCTGGACACCTTGCTCTGCCTGGGTGAGGGTGGAGTGGCTTTTTCCTGCAGGCTGAAACTCCCTGACTCCTTTCTGCAGCTCATTTCCTTCATCTAAACAGCATGTCCCTCTATGTGTTGACATGGCTGTGTGGACTGAAGGCTGACTCTGCTTATGTTTTGTCTTCTGTGGGGCCAGTGTTTTTTTCTTTGTTTTTACATACAGCTTTATTGAGATATAATTTATATACCATAAAATTCACCCATTGCAAGTGTGCAGTGCAATGGCTTTTTGTATATTCATGGTTGTGCGACCATCACCACTATCTACTTTGAGAGCATTTTTAGCACCTCAGAGAGAAACCGTACATATCAGCAGTCACTCCCCCATCCTGCCCCCTCCAGCCCTAGACAACCACAAGTTCACTTTCTGTCTCCATGCATTGGCCTAGTCCGAACCTTTCATATAAACCGAATCGTACCATATGTGGTGTTTTGTGACGGGTTTCTTTCATATAACATGTTTTTGAGGTTCATTCATGTTGTAGCATGTATCAGTAATTAATTTATTCTTTCTTGTGGCTGGAGAATATTCCATTTTATGGATATACTGTATTGTATTTATCCACGCATCAGTTGATGAACACTGGGGCTGTTTCGGCCTTTGGCTATCGAGAGCAACGCTGCCGTGAACGTGGGTGTACAAGATTTTGTGTGGATGTGTGTTTTCATTTCTCCTGAGTAGATTCCTAGGAGTAGAGTTTCTGGGTCATATGGTAATTCTAACATCAGAAGAACTACAGCTGGATGTGTTTCATTCACTTCCCAAAATCTTTTCTGAAGCGAAAGAAGCAATGGTATTTTGCAGAGGGGTCTCGGACTTTCAAATCCAAGTTCCTTTGCTCTTTGGACCTACGTCAAGCCATTATCATAGAGCTAATGAAGGAGAACTGGATGTGTGAGGTATTACAGGGAAAGATGAAGTAGCTGGGAGCAGGGCCCTGTGGTGGTGATGATCTGGAGTTTATCACAGGGAACCAGGGCCTGTCTAGACTTAGTGTATCTTTGCTTCAGAAGGGCTGTGTAACCGTATCTGGCTCTGCAATGGCCTCGGAACGATAAGAACAGCTTGCCGGGTGTGTTCTGCAGTTTGAGGCTTTTTCTTCGCGAAGTCAGGGCTGGCTTTTGTGAGCCCAGGCGCTGGATTTCTGGAGCTCTCCAGCCTTGCCAGGATTTGCTTTCTTAGAAACCAGGAAGTCCTTTGAAGACAATGATGTGAAACCCAAACACACTGGCTTTTAGTATTGAATCCATGTTTGTTCTCTAAATTGAGTCGGTATTTACAGATCTTTGAGAATTAAATGAATGTTAAAGCTTAGAACCAAGGATTAACAGAAGAAGTTGTAAGTAGCCTCAGTAAATCTAAGGATTTGCTAACCCATGCTGCTTTCCATGAGAAGGACTGAGTGGAATGGAAGCTGGAGGGTTTGTAAGAAGGCATTTTCTCCTCGATTTCCCAATACTTAGTTATTTCTTACTGTAAGCAGAGGAGTGAAAGGACATAAAGAACATGGCCGTGAGAAAAGATCACCAGGGCCACGCGGTAGAGGCTCTATAAATATTCGCTGAACGAGTTGCCTCTAAACGTATATATGTATATGAATCACTTAATATGTTTTAGTATTTCTAATTGTTCATCTTACTTTATGCCCTCAATAGTGTTATCAGTTAGGCTGATGTGAATGACAGGAAGAAGCTGAGGATCAGAGAAGGTAGGGACCTGAGCAGGTTAGTGACCAAAGAAAATAAGTCATGACTTCCCTGAGCCTCTATTTTCTTAGCTGTACAATGGGTCCACTAGTAAGTCACAGAGCTTTTTCAATATCAAGTGACATATGTTAACATACTCATGTGATCTTAAAAAATGCAGTAGAAAAGTTTTTCTTTTTTTAAAAAAAGTTAAATATATTGACCAAGTGGTTAATACTTTTGATAGAATAATTAGAAAATACAGAGAAGCATAAAGAAGAAAATGAGTATTTCCTATTATCTCACTAACCCCAAACATCCACCTGAAGTGTGAATTGTCCAACCATTTTAAAAAGCAATTTGTTAATATATAGTAAAATCAGAGGTGTGCATGTCAGAATGAGGCAGCAGTTCCAAGTCCAGTGTTCATTACTGCATTGTCTGTAGCACTGAAAACAAATTGGGAGTAATGTGAATGTCCGCCAGTATGGGAATAGATTAATTTTGGGGTAGTCATCCAAAGCAATACTCTTTGCAATTAAAATAACTAAAACTAGATATGTAACATTTCAAAATCGCAGTGTTGAATGTAGAAAGGAGCTCACGAAAGGATTCAGACATTATAAATTGCACATTGTTTGTGAATACATATGTTAAATAATACAGTAAAAGAATAAAAACATAGAAGGAAACATGAATTTCAATCTTGGGGGGTGCAATATATTTATTTATATTACAAATAAAATATTTATAATTTTTAAAATTTAAGTAGAGAGATACATATTATTTTTGCCTTTTAAAAGTTGGATCATATTGGCTGGGTGCGGTGGCTCATGCCTGTAATCCCAGCACTTTGGGAGGCTGAGGTGGGGGGAGCAAGAGGTCAGGAGATCGAGACCATACTGGCTAACACCGTGAAACCCCGTCTCTACTAAAAATACAAAAAATTAGCTGGGCATGGTGGCGGGTGCCTGTAGTCCCAGCTACTCGGGAGGCTGAGGCAGGAGAATGGCGTGAACCTGGGAGGTGGAGCTTGCAGTGAGCAGAGATTGCGCCACTGCACTCCAGCCTGGGCAACAGCGCAAGACTCCGTCTCAAAAAAAAAAAATTAAAAAAAGTTGGATCATATCATATACATTTTTTTTTCTTTTTTTTTGAGTTGGAGTCTAGCTCTGTTACCCAGGCTGGAGTGCAGTGGCTTAATCTTGGCTCACTGCAACCTCCACCTCCGGGGTTCAAGAGATTCTCCTGCCTCAGCCTCCTGAGTAGCTGGGATTACAGGTGCCCACCACCATGCCAGCTAATTTTTGTACTTTTAGTAGAGACGGGGTTTCACCGTATTGGCCAGGATGGTCTCGATCTCCTGACCTCATGATCTGCCTGCCTTGGCCTCTCAAAGTGCTGGGATTACAGACGTGAGCCACAGCTCCCAGACTCATATACATTTTTGTAGACTCTGTATTGTAAGCATCTTTGTGTCACTAAACACACTTCCTCATTGTTTTTCCTGACCCTCCTAAGTCGTTCTGTTCTGACTTAATTGTATTTTCTTTATTTTTGAGACAGAGTCTCACTGTGTCACCCAGGCTGGAATGCAGTGGCGTGATCTTGGCTCACTGCAGCCTCAACCTCCCAGGCTCAGGTGATCCTCCCACCTCAGCCTTCTGAGTGACTGGGACCACAGATGTGCACCACCATGACCAGCTTATTTTTGTATTTTTTGTCACCATGTTGCCGAGACCAATCTCCAACTCCTGGGCTCAAGAGATCTCCCGCCTTGGCCTTACAGAGTGCTGGGACTATAGGCGTGAGCTTCTGTGCCTGTCCAATTGTATTTTCAAAGAATTCTAGAAGAAGCAAAATTGCTGAATCTTCCTTTTCAGATTTTATAATTATTTTCTATTTATTCATTTATAATTGTTCACAATTTTTTCTAATTCATTTATAATATATTTGACCCTGAAGGAGCTCATAACCTAAAAGCAAAAGCAGAATTCAAGACACACAGAATTCATCTAGTTTATGAAGGAATTCCCCAAAGTTTGGGAATTCGCAACGTGAAACTTTTATTTACTTTTACCCAAAATAACCATGAATCAAGCAAATGTCTGGGTTGGAGAGAGGACTCTCCTATTACCACTGCAAGAAACGAGTCACTGACTGCCACCCACAACCCCATGTCAGAGGCCGTAGTTTTGTCAAAGGAAGGTGGTCTCGGGGCCTCTAGAGGCCTCGTTACACCCTCTACTGCTGCACACATTCCTGTTCTGGCACTTGAGTTATAACCATTAACCCACTTATGGAACTTAGTGTTCCATTATTGGAACGCTAAGCATGTGGGAATTATTTATATCCTCCTGCTCAAGGTCATCACCAAGGTCTGATTTTTCACTCATGCAAAAATTCAAAAAATTATACTCTCCAGCATAAATGGGTTAAGAAGATAATTACAATTCCCTACCATCATAGGCCTTCCATTCCCTAATCTGTAACAGGTAATGTATCCCTTTAGAAGAATCTAAATGGCTGCTCCCCCTCTCTGCTTTTGTTCCTCCTGCAGAAACTGCCCTATAGGTAGATTTGTAAACTATCAATGCCCTTATGTGTATCAAGAGCACGTCTCCCATGTTTGAATGGGAAACGTAAGGCCCGGGAAGTGGGCTTGGCATCCACCTGGCTCCCCTCATTCCCACCTGGGAATACGTTGGCACAAATGAACTTGCAGGAGCTCTCAGGCGCAGCTTCCATCCTCCCTGCGGGTCTTTAACCAGCGGCCGGACAGGCTGGTCTGTAATGCAGGGTAACGTTGTGCAGCCTCTGGGAGAGGAAGAGGAGATCAGGTGGAGAGGCCAAGAGAGCAAGGCCAAGGAAAGAGCTGGGGGCACACAAGCTTGGTGGAGCCCTCCTTTGTTCTGACCAGCTGAGTGACAGGCAGGTCACTTAACACTCTAGCTGTCAGCTTTCTCATCTATCAAAGGAATAGTTAGAGAATTGACCCCTACAGTTCAATTCATGTCTGTTTATTGGTATTCGATGTAGGAGAGACTGCATGGGAATCAATGAGGTAGAGAAGGATCTTTCAACAAATGCCTTGGATACAACTGGTTAGCTATTTGGAAATCCATTTAAATCTTCACAGAGGACTGTAACCAAAAATAAGTGTAAGATGGATTGAGTAGCTAAAAACAAAATTAACTATAGAAAAACTAGATAAAATGAGTGAACATTTATCAGTTTTCTGCAGGATAAGAAATAAGCGTAGAAGGAAGCCCTAAGTTTAAACATTATGAAAGAAATTACAGTTCTTACTTCATCGTAATTTAAACCTCCAATAAGCTAAGAATAAAAATAAACAAACTGAAAAAGTTGGTCACTCTAAATGGAATAGGCGAGATGTTATTCTATTTAAGAAAGCAATATGCAAGGGATAAAGGCACAATCAATAAAAAAGTCATGGAGGGGAAACAGCATTTAATAAATACTTTAAAACATGCAGCTTCATGGCCATTCAGAAATGCAGTTTAATGTAAGACTGTATAAAGATTTAATTTTGCTTTTCATTGTTTTTAAATGAGAATTCTTATTGCTGACAAACATGTAGTGAAATGGGTATTTATATATATTGCTAGTAAGAATATAAACAGCTACAAATATTTTGGCAATATTTGGCAATACAAGCAATTTGTCAATATTCACTAGGTACCTTAAAATGTTTGTTTCTGGAATGCAGAAATGTTGTTTCTGGGAATATATTGCAAAGAAATAACCCAAAATTCAGGAAAAAAAAAGGTTTGTGCCCAGAATTGCTAAACATTGCACTATTTATTCTTGAAAAAACACAAAGAAGCCTAAATATAATAATGAGGCAATTAGGTAATAATTATGATATGTCTAGTATAATTATGAGAAGGATATTTATATTCTAATATGGCAACTGAATATGATTTCACATTAAAGGCTAGAAAAGAGCATATAAAATAGATTTAAAATAAAATCTCAACTACTGTATATTTATTTTTAACTTTTATTTTAAGTTCAGGGATACATGTGCAGGTTTGTTATATAGGTAAACTTGTGTCATGGGGCTTCTTGTACAGATTATTTTGTCACCAGGTATTAAAGCTACTACCTCTTAGTTATTTTTCCTGATCCTCTCCCTACTCCCACCCTCCGCCATCTGATAGGCCTCAGTGTGTATTGTTCCCCTCAATGTGTCCATGTGTTCTCATCATTTAGTTCCCACTTGTAAGTGAAAACACGTGGTGTTTGGTTTTCTGTTTCTGCATTAGTTTGCTAAGGATAATGGCCCCCAGCTCCATCCATGTTGCTGCAAAGGCCATGATCTCATTTTTTATAGTTGCATAATATTCCACAGTATATATGTACCACATTTCCTTTATCCAGTCTACTATTGATGGGCATTGAGGTTGATTTCATGTCTTTGCTATTGTGAATAGCTGCAATAGTGAATAGCTGTGAATAGCTGCAGTAGTACTGCAATGAACATAAGCGTGCATGTGTCTTTATGATAGAACGATTTATATTCCTTTGGGTGTATAACCAGTAATGGGATTGCTGGGTCGAATGATATTTCTGTTTTTAGGTCTTTGAGGAATTGCGACACTGTTTTCCACAATGGTTGAACTAACTTACACTCCCACCAATGGTGTATGTGTTCCTTTTTCTCTGCAACCTCACCAGCATGTGTTATTTTTTGACTTTTAAATAATAGCCATTCTGACTGGTGTGAGATGCTATCTCACTGTGTTTTTGATTTGCATTTCTCTAATGATCATGATGTTGAGCTTTTTTTCATGTGTTTGCTGGCCTCATGTATGTCTTCTGAAAAGTGTCTGTTCATGTCCTTTGCCCACTTTTTAATGGGGTTGTGTGTTTTTTCTCGTAAATTTATTTAAGTTCCTTATGGATGCTGGATTTTAGGCCTTTGTCAGATGCATAGTTTGCAAATATATCATCCCATTCTGTAGGTTGTCTGTTCACTTAGTTGATAGTTTCCTTTGCTGTGTAGAAGCTCTTTAGTTTAATTACATCCCATTTGTCAATTTTTGCTTTTGTTGCAATTGCTTTGGTGTGTTCGTCATGAAATCTTTGCCCATTCCTATGTCCAGAATGGTATTGCTTAGGTCATCTTCCAGGGTTTTTATAGTTTTGGATTTTACACTTAAGTCTTTAGTCCATCTTGGGTTAATTTTTGTATATGGCATAAGGAAGGTGTCCAGTTTCAATCTTCTGCATATAGCTAGCCAGTTATCCCAGCACTGTTTATTGAATAGGGAGTCCTTTCCCCATTGCTTGTTTTTGTCAGCTTTGTTGAAGATAAGATAGTTGTAGGTGTGTGGCCTTATTTCTGGGCTCTCTATTCTGTTCCATTGGTCTATGTGTCTGTTTTTGTTCAGTACCATGCCCATTTGGTTACTGTAGCCCTGTAGTATAGTTTGAAATCAGATAGTGTGATGCCTCCAGCTTTGTTCTTTTTGCTTAGGCTATTCAGGCTCTTTTTTGGTTCCATATGAATTTTAAAATAGTTTTTTCTATTAATAGTACTGTGAAGAATGTCATTGGTAGTTTAATAGGAATAGCATTGAATCTGTAAATTACTTTGGGCAGTATGCACACTTTAACGATATTGATTCTTCCTATCCACGAGTATGGAATATTTCTTCATTCGTTGTGTCATCTCTGATTTCTTTGAGCAGTGTTTTGTAGTTCTCCTTGTAGCGATCTTTCACTTCCCTGGTTAGCTGTATTCCTAGTTTTTTTTTTTTTTTTTTTTTTTGAGACAGAGTCTCGCTGTCACCCAGGCTGGAGTGCAGTGGCACGATCTTGGCTCACTGCAAGCTCCACCTCCCAGGTTCACTCTATTCTCCTGCCTCAGCCTCACGAGGAGCTGGGACTACAGGGGCCCACCACCATGCCCGGCTAATTTTTTGTATTTTTAGTGGAGACGGAGTTTCACTGTGTTAGCCAGTATGGTCTCGATCTCCTGACCTCATGATCCGCCCGTCTCGGCCTCCCAAAGTGCTGGGATTACAGGCGTGAGCCACCGCGCCCAGCCAGTATTTTATTCTTTTTTGTGGCAGTTGTGAATAGGAGTTTGTTGCTGATTTTGTTCTTGGCTTGTCTATTGTTGGTGTATAGGAATGCTACTGAATTTTGTTCATTGATTTTGTGTCCTGAGACTTTGCTGAAGTTGTTTATCAGCTTGAGGAGCTTTTGGGCTGAGACTGGGGTTTTCTAGCTGTAGGATCCTGTCATCTACAAACAGGGATAGTTTGACTTCCACTCTTCCTATTTGGATGCCCTTTATTTCTTTCTCTTGCCTAATTGCTGTGGCCAGGACTTTTTTTTTTTTTTTTTTTTTTTTTTGAGACAGAGTCTTACTCTGTTGCCCAGGCTGGAGTGCAATGGAACAATCTCAGCTCTCTGCAACCTCCGCCTCCTGGATTCAAGCGATTGTCCTGCCTCAGCCTTCTGAGTAGCTGGGATTACAGACATGTGCCACCACACCTGACTAATTTTTGTATTTTAGTAGAGATGGGGTTTCACCATGTTGTTCAGGCTGGTCTCGAACTCCTGACCTCAAGTGATTCACCTACCTCAGCCTCCCAAAATCTGTGATTACAGGTGTAAGCCACCATGGCCTGGCCAGGACTTCTAATACTATGTTGAATAGGCGTGGTGAGAGAGGGCATCCTTGTTTTGTGCCAGTTTTCAGGGGGAATGCTTCCGGCTTTTGCCCATTCAGTATGATGTGTTGGCTGTGGGTTTGTCATAGATGGCTCTTATTATTTTAAGGAACGTTCCTTCAATACTTACTTTATTGAGAGTTTTTAACATGAAGGAGTTCAACTACTATATATTTAAAAATAAAAAAAGCCTCTGAAATGGTTTTATCTAGCAAAGGGGAGGGGAAAGCTTTATGCATTCGCCAAAGAATAGAAGAAAACAAATCAAAATGTTGTCAATAGCTGTTCTAGGTGGTAAAATGTCTGCATTTTAGAATTGTATGCATTTTGTATAATGAATTACTGTTATAATGGAGTGACTTTACCTTTCAAGAAATTCCTGGCTTTGCCTAAGTGATTTACACGGCTAGTATAATTTCCTTTAGTTTCACTGGATTTGTGTTTTAACAGAAGATTCTTTGTTTTAAAAAAAGTCACCTCTGTGTTCCTCAACCGACATCTGAGTTCCTCCTCTACAGGGGATTCCGCAGGTAATTTGCTTTTATTTGAGTAATTTCATGTCAGTTTAACATATAGCCTCATGCAGTTTCAGTGCTGGTAGGAAGAGGACTCAACTTGGCTGCTTACAGCATGTAAAGGTATGGAGAGCAATCTTGTGGGTTCATCTGCGTGGATTTTGCAGGGAGAATAACTTGGTGTGTCATCTGCCCTGTGTTTAATGTTAATGGGAAAGAAGCCCAGGACTTTATCAGTTTATGCTCTTACTTTTGCTTTGTCTTTGACAGTTCAGTGTTACCACTATGAAAATTAAATTATGTTAGGTCATCTAGAGACTCAGATGGAATCAGTATTTATTGAGCATCTGTTCTGTAAGAAGTGGAAGGGGTGGAAGTCATCCCGGCCCAGGGTATATTACTCAGTAAGTGCTTTAGTTTATTGGGCATGGTACTTACCACTTAAAACCTAGCAAGGGGCTCTGTAAGAATCCCCTGTGCTAGGCTGGGTGCGGTGGATCACCTGAGATTGGGAGTTCGAGACCAGCCTGACCAACATGGAGAAACCCCATCTAGACTAAAAATACAAAATTAGCTGGGCGTGGTGGCGCATGCCTGTAATCCCAGCTACTCGGGAGGCTGAGGCAGGAGAATCGCTTGAACTTGAGAGGCGGAGGTTGCAGTGAGCTGAGATCACTCCATTGCACTCCAGCCTGGGCAACAAGAGTGAAACTCTGTCTCAAAAAAAAAAAAGAATCCCCTGTGCCTATGCTCAGAAGTCTAATGCAATGTTAGTATATAGTAGAACTTAAATATGAATCAATGAATTTTTAGCTGAATGAATGAACGGGTAGCTCCTTGGATGGGAACCTAATGAATGAATATACTTCTCAGTGGACGAATGAATGTATGCGTGAATTAAACAACTCTGTCCTGGATTCTGCTTAAAAGTTGGAAAGAACCTCATCACTTCTCCAAGCATCTTTTGCTCTGAGCTTGATGACTGAAGTAAGAAGAGAGAGAAGGCCCTGACACATGTTTGATCACTGCTGCTGCTAATGAAACTTTTCGAGGAATAGCCAGTCTGTAATGCCCTCAAAGGCATCCTTCATATCCAAGTACTTCAGTATTCTTGTGGCCATTTTTCAGAGCTATCTAGAAACAAGGATACTGCATGTCAACTTAGTTTGGGCACTCGAAGCCAGCAATTCTGTCTTCAATAAATGATTCATGTCAGAAAAGCATTTAAGTGCATTTGTTTTCTAATAAGTCTCTCTTCAGGTCCATTATGCATGAATCAAACTGGGGAAGTTGCCTGGGTTCATTTGGCATCCTTTATGAAAATCAAAGAAATGAGAGATTTAAAATCCAGCCATATTGATTCTCCCGCCTTCCTCGCACTCCTTACCAGAAACTAGGATTGGCAATGACAGGATCTCCAAGAACTCAAGGATTGAGGGCACTTCACGGACAGTGAGTAGGAGAGGGAGGGGCCTACCAAAGAGAAAAGAGCCCAGTTTCTGGTATCTGAGATGCAGAAGAAAATGAACGGCCACTTGCTTGTGTCCCCCTAAACTGCTCCCCTGAGCAGCCCCTCGCTGAACCACCCCACAAAAAGTAAGCTCCTGTGGCCACTATAGAGGCAGCAGAGTGCTTCCTCTGAGCTCTACTCCTGGCGATCCCTCTAGGGTGCTTAATGCCACGTTAGTTTCCATGAATCAGAAGCACTGTGGTTAAAGGCACGTGCACAAGTGGCCCCATTTCCCATTTTCCAGAACCATAAAACTGGGACTGATATCCAATGCCTAAGCATCTGCCCTGCAGAAGGCTTCCACATCCATCACCTCCTGAAGTCTCCCATCACCCCTGTGGGGCCGGCGTGTATGTCAGTACGTCCTGTTGACAAAGGAGGAAGCTGAGCATGGCAGAGGTGACGTGACCAAAGGGATGAGGATCAACGATCAAGAATCACACTCAGGTCCCCTGACTCTAAATACTGGCTACCTCCCCTGCTGCATTTATTTATTCCACCATGAATAGAGTCGCAATTTCTCGATTCCCAAGGAGGTTTCTACCCTGGTTGGCATAGGCCACTGCAAAATAAGTTGCCAGTTGGTGCACGGCTTGCTAGTAGGCATGTGTGCGAAATTAAGTTAGCATTTGCAGGAGAGTTCTCATGCCCACGTGTTTTGCTACGTGGCCTTTGGCTCTGGTTGCTATCACTTCGCATCTCCTTGGTTTTCTGAGATAGCCTGTCTCTGACACTGGGACTCCCCAGGCCTGGGGTTTTGGCCCATCTGTCTGTGGTTGGTGACCTTCACTGATTAGGAGCTTTGCTCAGGGGGCCAAAGACAGTGTTTCATCCTAGGCTAAGTGGTGGAAGGCATCACTCTTACTGGATCAGTTGACCCAGGCAGAGTAGGTGGGCTAGGCCAGACCAAAGGGAGAGATGTGTGCACCCTTGTCGGCTTTACTGGATCGGAGATGTCAGAGAATGCAGTTCGCTATCTCTGTTTGGTGGTTCAGTATTATTATCCTCATGGTTTCCTGGCCTGTCTGCTCACACAGCATCAAAATGTGAGTTTGTTTAGCCATAATGGAGCCAGCTTAAAGGTTGTAGAGTGCTGAAATACTGAAAAGATTACGCTTGTAACCCTTTCCCCAATGGTTATTAAACATGAAAATACTAAATGATGAAATAAGCTTAAGGAAACTGCCAACATTTTAAATTTCGCCATAAACCTTAACTTTAAAGGCTTTTTATTATTTGTTTTTGTCGTATTTTGAAATATTAAAGATCAGATTTTATTAAAAAGTCTTCTTTGGTGCCATGATTTGCTGGTGATGTAGGAACGTGCTGTCTGCGTTGGTGTCAGCCCCATCCTCACCCCTGCCCGGAAGACTTCCTGCTTCTTTGCGGGAGGCAGACGGCACTGTGACCTACCTGTTCTTTGCGTCTTCTGTATTTGTTAGAATTGTGTCGTCAGCTCCTCGCTGTATGTCTGTTTGAGATCAGGAAAACACAGGTACATTCAGAGAGCACCAAAGTGATGAGGGTCTTGGTCTTCTCAATACCAGTTTTTATTTCCCTTCCACAAGGTGGAAACAAGGCCTACATCGAGTATTCAACTCATTTCTTCAATGAGATTTATGTAGGGAATTGACAGTTAACTTGTTATTAGGAAGAGAGCCTCAAAACCAATGACTTTGAACTGCCTTCCTCTGGGCTGGGAATAAGGACATAATCATTTCATTAAAACTTGTGAGTGGGCTTTGAGGATCTTAGGAGTCACTTCAGCTCAGGGTCACCCTGGAGATGAGTGGTTGTCAGGCTAAAAATGTCCACCTGAGGAAAATCTTATTGAAATAAACAAACAGATAATGAGAGCCACAGTGGAGAAGTGAGTAAGAAAAGCTGGTGATGGTTGGGGGCCAGGGAGAAGGGGTCAAGGGAAGGAGGAGACCGGTCAGCCCGGGAGAGAGGCAGGGGCTTCGACTGAGGGTTCTTCCTGCAGCTGTTGTGCTGTTTCTCTGCCTTCCTGTGTGTAATTGTTACAGCACGGTGGGAGGCAGGGAATTTCACCTCCATTAGCAGATACAGACCCGGAGGCTCAGAGAGCATAAGCTACTGACCCAAGATTGCACAGCTAGGAAACAGCGCCTCTCCTGCAGGCTCTGGGCACACAGCCTTGTGGTGGGCCAAGTGCGCAGGATGGCCGAGGCTCTGACGTGAGCTGCCAGTCCTGACCACGTTGCCTTGGTGACGGTGGGGGTAGAGTGGGAGGTGGTTTAGGTGCTGAATAAAGCTCTCTCTTTTTGTTTTTAGTGCCGGCTGGGGATGCCAGCCACCTCACGCCTGCTTCTGCCGGCCCAGGGCCGGGTCTTGGGCCATTTCCCTACTTTGGTAACCCCAAGGGGAGAGCTGCCCCTTCACTGTCCCCAGCTCCCATGTCGTTCCAGCCCTCACAGGCTTAGTATTGAGCTGACAGCCACAGCCACGTAGCAGCAATGACGATGATGAAATCGACAATTTCAACATGCATTCTGCCTTCTTTCCATGTTTGAAAAAGTTTCATTTTTTTTTAAATTAAAAAAAAATTTTTTTGAGACAGAGTCTGGCTCTGTCGCCCAAGCTGGAGTGCAGTGGCGCAATCTCCACTCACTGCAACCTCCACCTCCTGGGTTCAATCAATTCTCCTGCTTCAGTCTCCCGAGTAGCTGGGAGGCACGTGCCACCACGCCCGGCTAATTTTTGTGTTCTTAGTAGAGACGGGGTTTCACTATGTTGGCCAGGCTGGCCTCGATCTCCTGACCTCAGGTGAGCCACCCACCCCCTCCCAAAGTGCTGGGATGACAGGTGTGAGCCGCTGCGCCCGGCCTAGGTTTCCTTATTAACCAGAATATAATGTTGTGGACGTTTCCCCTGTTTGGAAGATTAATTTTTTTCATTTCTGTTTGGATTTATCATATTGGATTTTTCATCAGGAGTTGATAAAATTTTTTGGAGACTTCACAGACTGAGCATAATTTTAAAATATGCCTCTGCTGAGCATTGTTTAAAATAGCTCATACACCCTCGGTTGTTGGAAATGCATCTAGCCAGCTGGCACCCTCAGAATGTGTACCTACTCTGAGGTCTGCACCCTCCAGCCCCATGAGGCTGCGGGCGAGCTGGATGGGGTTTGGAGGATGTGGCCTTCTACTTGGAGAAAAGGTGCCACTGAGGCTCCCCAGGACTGACTGTGAAAGGGAAGTCGCTTAAATACTCATGAGCACCCCAACAGTCAGAAACAAGACCATGGACTGAAATCCCAGGCGTCCCGGAAGGCTGAAGTTCATGAAGTCTATCATGTTGGGCTTCTTGTCTTATAGGCAGCATTAAGAGCGTGAGACTGGTTAAAAGCGTGAGACTGGCCCAGGCCGGGCCCCCACAGTTACTCACCATTAGCCCTTTACACTTCACCTCCTCTAACTAAACCTCGGTTTTCGCATCTATAATGTGAGAATGGCAATACCTTTCATAGTGGGTTTTTGTGAGAACTAATGGGATAATATATGCTAAACATTTTTTATACTGATGCTGCTGCACTGGTTATGATTCAGAAGCCCTATGATGTTTAACTGTAAACATTTTTGGCCAGGTGCTGTGGCTCACGCCTGTAATCCCAGCACTTTGGAAGGCTGAGGCAGGCGGATCACTTGAGATCAGGAGTTCGAGACCAGCCTGGCCAACATGGTGAAGCCCCATCTCTACCAAAATTACAAAAATTATTCGAGCGTGATAGTGCATGCCTGTAGTCCCAGCTACTCTGGAGGCTGAGGCAGGAGAATTGCTTGAACCCAGGAGGCGGAGGTTGCAGTGAGCCGAGATTGTGCCACTGCACTCCAGCCTGGGCAACAGAGGGAGACTCCATCTCAAAAACAAACAAAAACAAAAACATTTTCATCTCATAGCAATTAAAGCTACGGAAAGCCTTAGAGAACACTTAATTTCCTTCTGCCTTACTTCTCATGACAGAATAAGTTACCAAGGTTTTCCATCTGTGTTTGCTTCTGAGTCTAGCTTTCTGTGGACTAGGTATAAAAGCTCTTGCCA
Organism: Homo sapiens; assembly: GCF_000001405.40. Lineage (NCBI taxonomy): Eukaryota > Metazoa > Chordata > Mammalia > Primates > Hominidae > Homo > Homo sapiens. The sequence continues at coordinate 161,241,571 of NC_000006.12, read as the reverse complement.
ATTTGTTTTTCTCTCACAAGCTACTCAGAACCAACTATTAAATATGAACTTAGAAGCATCACTTTTCCATAGACCTGACTTTTTATCATGCAAGAGTGGGGCTTTGAAGAGGGACTAAAGGTTAGTTATTAGAGGACATAGTGAAAAAGTTAAGTATGATTTATGGTTTCTTCAGAGTTTGGTTTGTTTTAACAGACATCATGTACTGGACAAAGGACTGTTCTATGAAATTTTAAAATACATGAATTTTGTATAGGCTTCTGCCATACCATTAGATGATGATAATTTTTTTTTTTTTTTTTTTTTTTGAGACAGAGTTTTGCTCTTGTTGCCTAGGCTGGAGTGCAATGGCGCGATCTTGGGTCACTGCAACCTCCACCTCCTGGGTTCAAGCATTTCTCCTGCCTCAGCCTCCCAAGTAGCTGGGATTACAGGTGCCTGCCACCACGCCCAGCTAAATTTTGTATTTTTAGTAGAGATGGGGGTTTCACCATGTTGGCCAGGCTGTCTCGAACTCCTGACCTCATGATCCACCCACCTCGGCTTCCCAAAGTGCTGGGATTACAGGTGTGAGCCGCTGCACCTGGCCGATGATGATTATTTTTTAATTGAGGACTATGTTACTTAGAGCTCGTCCCAAAGACAGTTAAATCCAGTCTAGAATACTTTCTCTCCTGTTTGGTTGTAGGAATTAGGCCAACTGAACTCTAAGGGAGCCAAAACTGAACCCAGCCTTGTCTGCCAGGAGTGAGAACAGAGCACGTTCCTCAGACCTGTACAAGTTAGTTGCCGCCCTGGTGGAGACTTTGGCCACATTCATCCGACCTGAAGGAGTGCTGGCAATCTGAATGTAGTGTGTGCTGGACACCAGCTCCCTCCTTTCTCCTGGGACTGTATCCACTCCCCTCTCCTCTGTGGGCACCGCAGTACCTGGGGATTCTGTGTCCTGGAGACCGAAATATTGGTTCAGAAACAATCTGCCAGCTGTCCCCACTTTAGCTGTGCTGCTCTCTTTGCCAGTCCCTGAAGTTTTTATTTTCTTTTATTTGTCTGGTTAACCTGGGCCACTTGGGAATCTTCTCTGTAGATGGGAGTTGGGGAAGAGTGGCAGAGCTGGATCGCTTAATCACTGTTCAGGAAGAGTGCAGTGGCATAGAGGAAAAAGCTTGCCTTGGGAGGGCAGCCGTGTGTTTGACTTGGAAGGGATCTTGGAGTGCACCTTGTCAGTTTCTTCCTAAGGATAAAGATGCTGAAGCTGTAGTCTTGAACCCAGCCCAGGCTTCCAGGTGGACAGACTTGTTTAAGTGTGTGTGTGTGTGTGTGTGTGTGTGTGTGTGTGTGTGTGTGTGTATACACAAAGATATCTGCTGTTAGTGTTTTGGTAAGGCTTTCTTTTCTTCCGGTTTTTTTTTTAGAGTTGTGATTATTTTCTCCACATGATTTTGTATCCTGTCACTTAATATCATAATGAAAATGTATCCATTTTACTGCAAACCTATTTTAGTGACACTTCACCTATTCCATTTGGTGGGTCTTCCATAATTCAGTTTTTTGTTTCCTTATGTCAGAAATACAAATTGTTTCTAATTTTTGGCATTGGAAACAGTAGTGGTTGAATATCTTTATACATAGGGAATTTTCTGAAAGTTAATTTTGTCCTTAAGATAGCCAGAAATTGGTTTACTATTAAGTGGTATGAAGCTGTTTAAGGCCCTAATATGTGTGTGAAATTGCTTACTAAAAAGATGGATTTGTACTCACACTGAGGCTAGGGGTCCCATTCTACCTCATCTCTGTAGAATGGAGTATTATCATTAAAAACAAAAAGCCTAGTTTGGAATGTAAAAAGTAGTATAAAATAATTTGCATTCATTTCTTTGATCTCTTTTTGTATGTTCTGGATTTTGAGGTCAAAAGAGCTTCAATAAGATGTTTAGATTTTAATGACAATGCTAAAGTGGGCAGGAGCATTATTTCAGCAATTCTTCTTGGACTGATTTCTTTGGAAGAAAGGAAGTTTTGCCTTTTCTACAACCCTGACCTGGTTGAGTGCTGCAATGTGAATCTATATTAAAAACAAACAAATAAATACCTTTTAAATCCAGCTAGTGGCGGAGTTAATCCCATTTCAGGTTTAGCCTGTCTTCCTGAGTATGACTGAAGTTCATGCTTATTTAATAGTTTCAGAATTTTGAATAAGACAGAATATGAAGTCTTAACTAAGGATATCTTGTTGCCTAATTTAATGCATTAAACTGACAGCTCTCTGTATAGAGAAGGATGCGGTTTGGATTCTTTCATGGGGAAATTCTGAGTTTTCTTTCATTTGCTTATGTTTTCACCAACATAGGCTGGGCAGCATATGGTACCATCTGCCTTACACCGTACATAACTCACTTCAGCAGTCCCATCGACCAAACGCTGTGCTGGAGTGTGTATGCCTGGCTGTCTGTGTCTGTAGAACTTCATGGTAGAAATGGTACCTGAGAAATTCAGTGCTAGAGTGAGAGCGTTTGTCTCGCTTGCACTTTAACATATTCTTATGTGTATTAATTAGTCTATTCTCACACAGCTAATAAAGACATACTCGAGACTGGGTAATTTATAAAGGAAAGAGGTTTAATTGACTCACAGTTCTGCAGGGCTGGAGAGGCCTCAGGAAACTTACAATCATGGCAGAAGGGGAAGCAAACGCAACCTTCTTCACATGCTGACAGGAAGGAGAAGCACCAAGCAAAAGGGTGAAAAGCCCCTTATGAAACCATCAGATCTTATGAGAACTCACGATCACAAGAACAGCATCAGGGTAACCACTCCCATGATTCAGTTACCTCCCACTGGTTCCCTCCCACGACATGTGGAGATTATGGGAACTACAATTCAAGGTAAGATTTGGGTGGAGACACAGCCAAACCCTATCACCTCATCTCCATCCCACGCTTTGGGAAGATTACATAGTTAAGGAAGGTAAAGTACACGTGAGTGCTTGTGACTGCATTATTTCCCATTTCTGAGTCACTAGCAGAAAAGTATAGGTTAGAATGAAAACATATGGGGGAGGATGCTTTAACACATTACAGGTAAATTAAAGACAATGTCTTGATCTAGATAGGTAGAGAAGGAAAACTGAGTTGACGACCATCTCATTGGCTTTCCCAGGAGAGACGAAGTCATCTGTCTTAGCTGCTCCTTCTTTGCCTTCTTGCAAATGATAGAAAAATCCCCCATTACTTGGGGTTTTCCCCGTTCCAGGCATCCTGGCAAGTGTTTCCAATGCTTTACTATACTTGCTCCTTGCAGCCACCTCATGCTGAAGTTATTGCTCTGATTTTACACACGAGGAAAGTGAGGGCCAAGTAAGTTAATCAACTTCCATAGCTGTAAAGTGGCCAGGCCTGGATTTGTAGCCAGACTGCCTGACTCTCAGTGCCCTCTCCACAGCGGAAGCTCCAACAACTATGCTGCATTCTGCCTCCCGCCCCCCAACCCCCCCATTACCCCCCCACCCCCAGCCCCCCAACACACAGCAGTGCTTGGCTTCCAGGTGGTCTCGCGTTGCCTGCACATTTCAGAATTTCTCTTGTCTGGTGCTTTGGTTGATCACCTTTCTGCTGACTTTAATAGAGCATGCCAACCCTGTGGTCCCTCCTCAAGTTAGCAAGCAGTGTAAACTTTCTCCCTCAGAGACTTGCAGGCATCTCACTTTTGTGGCATATGCCCATCATCTGCCCACACCTAACCTTCACGGGGGCTGGGAAATGGAGTCTGTCCAGTTCTGTGCTCAGAATGGGGTGGATTTCATTCTCGTCGTAAAAAAGGATGATAAAACACAGAGAAGAAAAGGAGATCAGCCATAATCCTTCTGCCAACATTTAGCCACTAATAATAGATAGTTATAGATATAGTAATAGATTTAGGTATGAATGACATATATGCACACATTATTATTTTACAGTTAAGAATTATACTTCTTTGTGAACTTTTCCCACTCAGTGTATTCTAATATTCTCTAAAGGTCTATACTGGCTGACTTAACCCCTTTGGTACACTGTTGGCTTATAGTCAACATCCCCTATGTATTTAACCCCCTTTGTCTCTCCCATCCTTATACGAATGACTCAGTTTTTACATCCAAGTGGTGCTGAAGGAGACTTCTTCTGGTATTCAGTAAGAAACCTTGCTAATGTTAATGATGGTTACCTACTTTCTCAAATAGCCATGAATTCCTTTCACACAGACTCATAGCCAACACTTTTTCAGTATGTGCCCTTGAGGACTGCCAGAGACTTTGCCAAATGATTGGCTAAATTCAATATCTACTAATCTACCAGTGGCCTGGGAAATAAAGGTAATTTGGATTAGATTATGTCTCCTTGAACCTGTTGTGATTCCTAGTGACAACTGCTTTTTGTCTATGTTTTAAACGCTGGTGCAGTCATTTTCAGGTGATGCATATTGAGCTCATGGGTCAGATGCGGCCTTCTGGAAAATTCCAATAATGTATCCGGATATGGTTTCCTGGCATTTTTCCTATTCTGTATGATTTAAAAATGTCTTTGTGTTTCCGCGATCCCTTTTGCATGTTGCCTTAGTTCACTAGGTTGTGGTTTGTCTGGGACTCATTATCTGGAGAGAAGCCTCCCCCTGCCTTTTATTTATTTATTTTGTTTGAGATGGAGTCTCACTCTGTCGCCCAGGCTGGAGTGCAGTGGCACAATCTCGGCTCACTGCAACCTCTGCCTCCCAGGTTTAAGTGATTCGCCTGCCTCAGCCTCCCGAGTAGCTGGGATTACAGACACCCACCACCACATCCAGCTATTTTTTTTTTTTTGTATTTTTAGTGGAGATGGGGTTTCACCAGGCTGGTTTCGAACTCCTGACCTCAAGTGATCCACCTACCTGGGCCTCCCAAAGTGCTAGGATTACAGGTGTGAGCCACTGCTCCCGGCCTCCCCTTTCCTTTTACTGCTTTAAGCCCTCATCGGGTCACTTGTCTGCCCCCAGAGGTAACCGTGCCAGCCTCTGTGGCCAGATTTCTTTGTGTGAACCTGTTGAAAGAGAATTCCCAGTAGAATTTGGCCTCCTGCACTCCCATCCCTAGGGTGTCTCAAGGTCATGGGGTGAATTTCAGGAAAAAGTAAAGGTTAAACGCTGCTTCTGAGCTCACTGATGGGAAAACACCTGCTGTTTCATTTCATGAGTACCAAAACCCAGAAAAAGGCAATACATCATCTTTACTTTGTCAAGCACACGAGTTCATCATTTTTGGCCTTGATAGTAAGAAACATCTTTTTTTTTTTCGCAGAAATATGGCATAGCAGCAGCTTCCTAGTTCTCTGTTGATTTAGAAACTCTGTAAGTAGCGCTCTGATATGCTCAGAAACAGCATAAGTTCTTTGTCATATTCTTGCCTCATGTAATAAGCCACTGAAGTGGATTTGCTGGAAAGACTCTTTCCGTCACATTCTAGGTACTTGCAAAGCTAAAAGGGAACTAGGCAAAGTATTTTTAAAATGTTTCTCTCCAGCTATTTTCATCGCTGGCCAGATATTTATACCATCTTTCCTCGGCATGACATGAAATTGGCTAATTGCCACGTTAGAAGAGAAAGTGCTGTTTTATTCAAGATGGGAAAGAAGCTGATATGGTTTGTATCTGTGTCCCTGCCCAAGTCTCACGTTGAATTTGTAATCCCCAGCACTGGAGGTGGGACCTGGTGGGAGCTGATTGGATCACGGGGGCGGAGTTCTCATGAATGGTTTAGCACTGTACCCCCTTGGTACCGTATAATGAGTGAGTTCTCTTGAGATTTGGTTGTTTAAAAGTGTGTGGCACCTCCCCCTTCTCTCTCTCTCGCTCTTCCTCCTGCCTTGTAAGATGCCCGCTCCCCCTTTGCCTTCCGCCATGAGTAAAAGCTTCCTGAGGCCTCCCCAGAATCAGAAGCCACTGTGCTTTCTGTACAGCCTGCAGAACCATGAGCCAATTAAACCTCTTTTCTTTATAAATTGTCCAGTCTCAGGTATTTCTTTATAGCAGTGCGAGAATGGACTAATCCAGATGGGTCCCCAAAACGTCTATCTGGAATGAACTTAAGACGTATGTCACACATTTGTCCTCCAGACACACCCCTACATAATTCAGCCACGTTTCTTTTAATCATCAGCCCTCATTCTAAAGTCAGTTAAATTATTTAACAACTCGAGCACTTCTCACCTTCTTCTTCAGAGGATGCCTTGACTATTCTTATTTTGGCGTTTGCATATAAATTTGAGAATCCGCCTAAGTTTCACGAAATTAAAAAGCAATAGCCTCCCTGGGATTTTGATTAGAATCTGTTGTCCCTTTTTACTGATAGAAAAACTGAGGTGCAGAATAGTTAATGTGCCCAAAATAGGGTACCAATACACAACTAATAAGAGACAGGGCAGAGCTGCAAACTTGGGCAGTTGAACTCTCAAGCCCACATGCAACCACCCCACACCAGGCTAGGAAATGGGCCTTGAGGACAGAAGTGGAGCTGAAACTCAAGACCCAAAACAAACCAAGCCTTGTCTGATTTCTCTTTAGGCTCATCTGCTTGGGGTTCCTCTTTACACTTCACCAATGCTATCTGAGACCCTGGTTCATGCATTGCTAGTGAGGGTTTTACGCACGGTAAAATTTCAATTTACCTTGAAATTTTATAAGGAAAAAAGAATTCTTAATTTTTCTTCCTAATGCCCTAATATTGAACTGGACACTGAAGAAGGCAGCATTTAACCCCCTGCATTTCCGATGTCAGCTGGCTTCCTTTTCTTAGTGTAGAATTGGCAAAGCAAAGGATTTGTCAAGTAATTTACAAACTCTAGACCCCAGAAACCTAGTGAAAAACCGAGCTTGGCCTGGCCAGATTGTCTTGACGCTATTAGTGGCTAATCCGGGGACAATGAACAAATTGCATGAATATTCAACATCAAACTGTTACTGCTGCCAAGCTGCAAACCCATGTAAACCCCTCCTATTTATGTGGCTCCCAAAGTCAAGTGCACTGAGCGGGGGCTGCCAGCTTAACGCCTATTCCTCAGTGGGAGCCTGGGAGTGTTGAAACTCAGTAAGGAGTTTTCCAGCCTGGAAATATCTGTGGAAATGCCGTCTGCGAAAGGCCAGAGATGTGATGATTCAGACCCTGCAGGGCCTGGATTTGTGCCAGAGAGTGGAGCTTCTGGGGCCTAGAGAATGGGATGTCTCAGTGGAGCTAAGATGATTTCAGAGAAATCAGGCCGAAAGCTTCTTCCCATTTCCCTCCTATCAGAAATGTATAGGAATCTTGCAGGAATGCAGCCTGCCTTCTGGATAGTCCCAGTAAGTGCAAACATGCCTCCCTGTGACTCTCCATATGCCCGAAACCATCCTCAGAGCCAACCTGCATGACCCAGGAGTGACTGCACTCAAAGCTGTGCTGTCTTCTGCCCTTGGGGGAATTTCTGGGCTGCTCTGCCAAAGGGAGTTGTGAGCCCAAGAGACCTCCCGCCTCACATCTCAGGAGCAGAACACCCCTGACACGTGCAGGAGAAAGAGCTCGGAGTTAAAACTGAGCCCCAAGATCAGTTACCGATTGTGGCAAGCTTAGGCAAGTTGCCCAACCTCACCATTGCCTCAGTTTCTTATTCTGAAAAGTGGGATGATAAGAATACTCGTCTTGTGGGATTCATAGGAGCCTTAAAATGAGATCACATGTGTGAAACTCTTACAGATGCCCCTCAATTTATGATGGGATTACATCCCGATAAACCCATTGCGAATTGAAAATACTGTAGGTCAAAAAGGCATTGCATGCACCTCACCTACCAAACATCATCGTTTAGCCTCGCCTGCCTTAAACATGTTCAGCACATTTACGTTAGCCTACAGTTAGGCCAAATCATCTTACACAAGGCCTATTTTATAACAAAGTGCTGAATAGGCCTTGTAATTTATTGAATACTGTACTGAAAGTGAAAAACAGAAGAGTTGTATGGCCTCGAATTAAAATTTCTCTGAATGGATATTGCTTTTACACCATCGTAAAGCTGGAAATTTTCAGTGGAATCATAAGTCGAGGACCATCTGTATACAGATTGTTCATTATTAAAAAAGATTGTAACAATTTTAGGGCCTCTCAACTATTATTGTTAGAAAGTTTGTCGTAACATTAGACGTCTTCCTGGGGTAGTCTGCCAGGCTCTTCTGCTTCCAGGAAAAGCGAGTCCGCTGCTCACAGCTTTCCTTTTCATCAGAGTATTTGAAACTCCTGCCATTTTCCTCAAAGGAAAGCTTTTATTTCCCAAACTGTAAAGTCATTTCATTATTCTGTTTTGAGCTGGAGACTGATTACAGGACTGTGAGTCTAACTGTATGTATGTGTTGAGTTTCTTTCTGATTTGAGAACACTTAAGGATGTGTGTATCTGTGTGTGTGTGTGTGTGTGTGTGTGTGTGTGTGTGGTGTTTGTGTGTGTGTCTATGTGTCTCTGTGTGTGTGACCAGGGTGTGGTGGGGGTAGTTTTCTTACCTTCCTAGTTATTTGTATTTACTGATAGCCTCAAAGTTGAGCCCTCGTGTACCTTCACTAAATCATTCTACAAATATTTTTTAAAATTAAGTTCCCACCCTGTGCCAGTGATGGCTCTCATGTGCTGGAGAAACAGTGGTGGTTTTCAAGTAAATGCTTCCCTAGTCCCGGTTGCTTGAGGGGTGGCACCCACTCTGGGTATGTCCTCGTCCTTGTCCAGGGCAGGCTTGACTTTAGGGCAGTCCTGCTGGAAGCGAGGGGTGAGCAGGGATCTGGAGGAGGAGAATGAGAGGAGGGAGATGGCGTGGGGCTAGGGGTGAGAGAATGGGGCTCAGGCCGCGATGGCAGCAGGAGGGGAGGCCGGATTTGCGGCCTGTCCTGTGGGCAGCCGTCACTCAAGTGGGACCCAGGGCTCCGTGGCTGGCTCAGCTGCTGCCCAGCTGGGGAGCGGTGAACCCTGGCCGAGTGGCTCCACCTTCCAGGACTCAGTTTCCTCATCTGAAATCAAAGTACCAACCTCAGAGGATATTGGGAGAATTAAAGGAAGGATTATTGTTAAAGGGCTTAGACTATGCTCGACAGGAAGTAAGCACTACATCAATGTTTGCAAAATAAAGATAAATCAACTAACGCACATGAGTTTAACCTCAAGTGTATATTTTTCTTTTCAGAGCACTTTTTTTCTGACTCTAAAAGCACATCGTGTTTTTGCTAACATTTCCTATTTGTTTGTGTTTTAGACGCCTTCCTGAGTCCTGGATCTTTCTTCCTTCTGGAAATCTTTGACTGTGGGTAGTTATTTATTTCTGAATAAGAGCGTCCACGCATCATGGACCTCGCGGGACTGCTGAAGTCTCAGTTCCTGTGCCACCTGGTCTTCTGCTACGTCTTTATTGCCTCAGGGCTAATCATCAACACCATTCAGCTCTTCACTCTCCTCCTCTGGCCCATTAACAAGCAGCTCTTCCGGAAGATCAACTGCAGACTGTCCTATTGCATCTCAAGCCGTAAGATACTTAAGATTCTATATTTTCGTCTCCATTGTGGATGTGTGTATCAGAATTATGGCTCTTGATATGGATTCACTAGGCTTTCGTTGTGTGCCGAGCTGTTTTTTTGTTTTGTTTTTGTTTTAGGTTTGAAATGGCTATTTTGTTCTCAATCCCCCAAAATTATTTTTTGAATGAATAATGCCAGTAGCTCAAAATTCAACAGCCACAGACAGGTATACTATGAAAAGTAAATACGCATTCCATTAGTTTCTTTAGTTCTCCTCAGAACCAATCAGTATTAATGATTTCTTAGTTATCCTTACAGAAATAGTATACATATAGCTCTTATACTTGTAAATGCATGTGCGTCTTTCTGTGTATATATCTATATAGATACATATACATACGTATTTTTTTTTAAAAAACTAAGTGGCAGTATACTATATTGTTTTCTTCCTTGCCTTTTTTCTTCAGCTTTTTATTTTGAGATAATAGATTCACATGAAGCTGTAACAAATAATACTGAGAAATTCTGTACACTCCTTGGCCAGTTTCTCCCTATGGTAGCATCTTGCACCACTGGAATAGCATATTCCAATGAGAAAATTGACATTGATACAATCCACAACCCTACTCCTATTTCTCCACTTTTAAGTACACTCATTTGTGTGTGTGTATGTGTCCGTGTATGTTTGATTATGCTAGGTTATTTCATACATGACTAATTTGACTGGCCTGAGTTTCAACAATTAAAAAGATGAGTGAGTGTATTGGGACATCCAGAAATGCATTTTGCTATTGATATTGATTAGCCTTAAGCCTATACCTATTCTTAAAAGTAGAGAACGCAGTGTGATATTAATAATGATATATATATGTGGGTATGAATATATTTCAAAATATGTGCTTTTTAAAAATTTGTCTATTAAAAACATCAACTAAGATTATGCCAAGAGTCTAAAATTATTGATATATTTTTGATACCCTTTAAAATGATCAAATTTGAATTTGAATCAAGACAATTCAAGCTATGTATAATTATCCAAATGGATTACCACTTATCCAGTCTTATTTGTTAAACTTCAGAATACTAACTTGTAAGGAAGAAAAGTCATAGACATATCTTTATTTATGACTTTTTTCACCAACTCAGAACTTGCAAATAGGCCTGATACTATTTTGGATATAGTTTGAGTGCAAGAGCTTCCATGTCTTGTATTACAATGCTTTATAGAAATATGTCTTGAAAGTGTTCATAAGATCCTAAGATTGAGTTATAATTGTAAAACAGCAACTTTAGTCTATTTGTCTCTGGCCTGTTGGGTACAACCACCAATTCAATCCAATATGATACAATGTACTTTTCCTTGTCATAGACTTCACTCAACATTGGTCTCCAAGTATGTACCCTTCTACGGTGGTATAGAAAAAGGAAAAACTTGTCCAAACAGGGCAGAGACAGTAGGAGATGATTTGGACAGGAACTGTAGCTGTTTGAAGAGAGATAAGTTTGTGTAATCAAGGGAAAGGAGACAGTTGACTGAGATTTAAAAGATGTTTATAATTTTAAATGTCTTTTTACCCTCTAGCAGTTGGTCTCTATTTAAGCAGAATTTAAATTTAACAAAGCAATACTGATTACGCTTTTTCATTGAAACCTGCATTTATGTGACTTGCATACACCTATGGAGATTCCAAAATCTGTTAGTTTGCAGTGTGAAATCCTGTATGTTTCTACTGTCATAACCCCTACCCAAATTTCAAGTGGATGGTTACGAATTGGATTTCTCATTTGGAGTTAAGAAATAAGAAACAGGATTTGGAATCAGAGTCCACAAGAGTACTATATTTTTTTTTGATTGATGGTAAAGACTTGCTAAGTTTATGGCAGGATTGTGGAGATATTTTTCTCAGGATGCATTAGTGTATTTGTTTCTGGTGGAAATTAAGATGGGCAACAAATTCAGAAAGCAAGGCAGATTTTTATCCATCACAAATTAATTAAATTATTTAGAACAAACTCCAAATGAAACTCAAGAATTAACCATCTAAGACAACTGGCATCTCAATGCCGGGTGCAATGAAGGGTAGGTAGTCTAATGTCACTGAAGGACCTAGAAGCACCTCCATCCAGGTATACCCAGTGATGCTCTGTGCCTTCTTCCCCAGAGGAAGCACCTCCATCCAGATGCACCCCAGCAATGACCTTTGCCTATGTCCCCGGAGGAAGGCTTCCTAGGGCTTTGGGCCAAGCGATAGTGGAAGCATTTTTAAACAATCCGAAGCGGGAAGGGAAGATTCCTCCCTCTAGAGGAGGAGTCCTGGCTACTGGAAAAAGAGAATACAGTAGAAAGGGAGGGTGATGATCCTGGGTGGCTCGTGGGCACCTCATGGTGATAAGCCAGTGCAAACTATCCCCAGGTTTGAGAGAATCCTCGCCAGGATTCTCCGTTTCTGGTATCCCCATAGGTGTTAGCAGGGCTGTTCGCTTTTCCTGGTTCCTTTTCCTTGCTCTAAATAATTGACAGACTTCCTCTGTCAATTATTTCACAGTAACCAAGGCCATGTAAAAAGAGTGTTTAGGAAGCCTTGCTGGGCCACTGATCAGCCAGAGGAGGAGACAGTTTGTGGGGAATTCAGCAGCTTAACTAGCAGATGACTCTGCAGCGTCTATGCTGTAACTCTCCTCTGCTTCCCTCTGAGTTAAGATAGAAACTGTTCATGGCTTTAATTGTGTCTTCTGGTGTATGAGTCACTCTGAGCTTAGACAGTCATCAGCATTCATGATTTGCAGCTGATTTTCTAAGGAAACGGCAGAAAAAAATGTTTCCTTGAGACACGGAGCCCTTCCATCTCTGTGTTCGCTTTCCTCTAGCAGAGCTATGGCTTTGTCTCTTTTCTCATTAAATATTTGTTAAGAGCTTGGTGTGTTACCAAGTAAGTTCAAAGCAGTTACCAGCCCTGGCGTGGTAAAGCTCTCATGCAAAAGGCCATGCTGATACAAAAGACAAATAGAGACAAAACAAGCAGTAAAGACAGCTTGGCTAACAGCAGGACACACCGAGACACTGAGCAGAGAATTTTATTCTAGTGGCAGCAACCAACCTCATAAATAACAACTTGAAAGTAATGTAATCTCGATGGATGATTTTTAGAGGGTTGCTTTGTCTTATTTTTGCCTAGATTTGTAGGCAGGAAAGGCCAAGTCAGGCTGGCTTGGCATGCTGAAGGAGGAAGGGAGGATGGAGCCGGCTTCGTTAGGTAAAAAGAAGGAAGAAAGTTGGAAGAAGTGGGGTGAAGGGTAGAATTTCATTGCCTTTCCACTAAGCAGGATATGCCATTTAATCTCTAGGGAAAGGTGGCCAAGACTGGCTTTTTTTTTTTTTTTTACCTCTCTGACATTGTGGGTTTCAAAACAAAACAGAAAGATTAGGAGAATCTATTAATGTCAGGGTTAAAAAAAAAAAAAAAAAAAGGCAGGGGGTGGGAAGGATTGCCAGTGACCTAATTGTCCTGGAAAGGGCCAGTAAAATGAAATGAAACACAGTGGACACCACCACCCCACACCCCCAGCCCTGGCGCCCTGCGTCCAAATTCAGTGTTGCTGTGAACAGGCTCTATGAGCTGGAGCCTGCCACTGAATATTCCTGGACTGTGATGCTTATGGTTTTAAACGGCTGTTGGATGCACAGCTACACATCTTCCTTGAATGGGGAAGGCCACATGGTGGCAAGAAGGGAGTGAGAATTTGGAGCACCAGCCTGCAAAATTACACATCCTGCCTCCCCTGCTACAGGCTGCGTCACCTTTGGCGAGCCACAGAAACTCTCTGAGTCCAAATAACAGGGCCAATTACAATGGTTGCTTCATAATGCAGAATGAGATACTCCGTCTGAAAGTGCTTTAGAAATTCCTTAAAGCACATCAAATTTAGGATTGAAATTGGAATTTGTGTCCAGGGGAGGAGGAAGAGTCAGGGGGACCGGTGGTGGCGAGGGTGTCTTGATCTTTCTTCCCATTGGTTCATCACTTGGACAGGTAACTTCAACACACTCAGCTACATTTGAAGTAAAGGGGATGGAATAGAGTTGACCAAGATTCCAATAGTTTTCTAATAAAGGGTTTAGAATTTTTTATTTTCCTCTTGGGAAGTTGTTACTTCCTTTCACCACCCCCACCGCATCCCACACTTGATGAGTGTTTGCCGCTGTATTTGTGTAACGCTCAAAAAAGGAGAGTGAGCTCTATATTGCCTCTTACAACACTACTGCGTGTAGTGGTGAAAATGATATCTGTTTCTCGCTGGAATAATAATAAACATTTGTAACATACTTCAGGATGTGTAAGTCACTTCAGATTTGCTACTCGAGAAGGGATTTGGCAGTGGCCAGGAGGCCTGGCAGAAGTTGGTCTGCTCCTATCTGGAAGATGGGATCAGGGCCTGGTAACAGGTCAGGAACAGCGGCAGCAAGGGCTGTGCGTGCAAGAGGGTTGGGAGCTCCGAGTTGCTGGAGAAACTGCAGAGCAAGTCATGTGATTACTAGAACCTGTCTGAAATTAACGACCACGGAGAATGGGAGTCCTCAACTCTACTTTCCCGAGAGGAAGCAGATATTCCACCCAGCCGAGCCTTGGGGCAAAAAGGCAGTCAGGTCTTCCATCTGGGTTGGGGGCTTGTGCTTTAGCACCTCCTCTGGGTAAGGGTGCCTCAATTTTGAATCTGTTCATGTGCTTATTGACCAAGGTGTCACCAGGTAGGTCTGAAAACCTAACAAGACAACCTAGTGGGACAGAGCAGTCTTTGGCACATGAGTCATAAAAGGAGACCTACTAGAGGCCGGTGTTTCTGAATCTCCACCCTGAAAGGTATACGACCTGCTGATTTTGTGGGCTTTCCTGTGTATGCCATTCTAATCCCAGACACTAGCAGACTGATTCACTTTTCTGCCAGCACTGGAAACTGTCTCCAGGTGTGTGACTGCTAGCTGACCTGCTAGGTGAGGCCTGAATTTGAATTTCCCCCTCCTTATGCATAAAGTACTTTTTGCACATTGTATTTTCAAACTGTAAAACAAAACAATCTTTCCTTCTTCTATTCCTTCTTCCTTCTTCTTCCCTGCTTTGCCTAGGAGCTCCCCCGAGGGAGGTCAGCTGTCATTCTGATGGCCTCAGGATGATGCTGTGGGTGCTGGGCCAGCACTTTCATTTTGCTGTCATTGCTGGGCTGGGGAAACTCCTTCTGCCTGCAGACCCTCCTGCCCGGCAGCACAGGGAAGGCAAGGTGGCCTCTCAGGAGCCTCCTCTATGGTAACCTCTCTGTGGGGAATCCTGGCCACATCAATGTGCTATCATCTGCTTTCATTCTATGTGTTAAAATTTTATACAAAGTGAACCTAGCTCTCCAGCCCTGCCTGGCTGCCTTTCTGACTCTCTGAGAAGTGAGAGAAGATGGAGGGCGGCAGCTTCCTGATGTTTGTCAACTTGACCAGGCAACAACTGGGTGTGGGCCACCCCCTACCCCACAAATGAAAATACAAGGGAAGTCTGTGGTGTTCTCGATAAGAAAGCTGTTGATCCCCCAAAGAGAGTGTCGCTGTGGCTTTTCCAACCCCTGCATGACCTTGAGAGAAGCAGTTTGTTCTGCTAACTCTGCAGCCGGCTTCCTCTATGCTTCTCCTCCCTGCCTGATTAATGACAGGGCTGCTTTTTCTCATTTCAATTCAATCTAAGCAGGAGTTTTCACTCTTTGAGTTCCAAACAGGTTTTGACTCCTTCACTTGTCCTGATAGGTAGTTACTCAGCTCCAAGATGTCAGAAAGGGAGTGTCCCTGAGTGGCCCCTGTCCTAACCCTTCATATCACTGCCTTTGAGCCTGTCAAAATGTGGAGTTGGGCAGGACCTACTGGCTACCTCTGCTGGGAGGACACAGCCTCAAATTTGGGTCCCCTCTTTGAAGGTCCAAAGAGTCATCCTTATCAGTTCCCAGATGGTGATCGCCTTCCCAGAAGAGGGTTCAGTAACCGGCTGTAGGTGGACATGATCCTAAAACTGATCATCTCTCCCTTCAGAGTAGCTGAACAACAGTGGCTTTGGCGAGTCAAGTCGGATGGAAAGGAATTTAAAAGACCCGTGACCCATGATGAAGGGAATTTAAAGCCTCTCAGACCCGCCTAGGCCTCCTTCTGCCTGTGGCTCTAAGATTCTAACCCAAAGGCAAAGCCCTGCCTCCTGGACTGAGCAAGCGGCCCACGAGTTTATCTGTTGGGACAACCTTTTCCTCTTTTTCCTCTGTCACCTGCGGGTACCTTTTACTTCTGAAGTGTGTCCACGCTGCACAGCTGAAACAAGCAAACACTGCCTGACTTCACCTGGAGTCACACACCCTGACGGCTCCACATCACGAGATCCCTCTGCTTCCACCAGTGATGGGCTAGCGGGGTTGCTTCCAGAAACTGACGAAAAGCAACCTTCCTTCTTTTCTTTTCTAGTTCTAAGGGGTGTATCTCCTGGGAGACCTCAGGAAGTGACAGGGAATTGTTATAAATAAAGTTTCGGTGCTGCAAAAGAAATAGCACTCGAATATAAAATTTTCTTTTTAATTCTCAGCAAGGCAAGTTACTTCTATAGAAGGGTGCACCCTTACAGATGGAGCAATGGTGAGTGCACACTTGGACAAGAGAGGGGAAGGGGTTCTTATCCCTGAAGCCCATGGCCCCTGCTGCTGTGTCCTTCCCCTATTGGCTAGGGTTAGACTGCACAGGTTAAACTAATTCTGATTGGCTAATTTAAAGAGAGTGACGGGGTGAGTGGTTTGGCGGGAAAAATGGTTATGACAGGGGACGGAATCAGAATGAGTCAGGGTAGAGTAGGTAATTGGAATGAGTCAGGGTGGAGCAGGTCATCGGAAGGAGTCAGGGTGGAGCAGGTAATCCGAATGAGTCTGGGTAGAGCAGGTAATAATCCGAATGAGTCAGGGTGAAGCAGGTAATCGGAATGAGTCAGGGTGGAGCAGGTAGTTGGAAGGAGTCAGGGTGAAGCACGTAATTGGAATGAGTCAGGGTGGAGCAGGTAATCGAAACAGGTTGCTTTACGAGGAAGTTAAGATTAAAAGTAGAAGGCAAAGAATTGAACATACTGACATATTGATTCTTTGAAAAGAAATTTAGAACTCATATCTAACAGAATCTATAACTGGACCAATGAAATGAGTAAGCTATGTTGAATCAAGCAACAAAGATGTTACTTTTACATCTAAGTCATTTTCTGATTTATTCAAGAAGTATTCAGCACCTAATATGTGTCAGGCATTGCGTTTGGTACTTGGGAAATAGTGGGAAGCAAAGGCAGCTACTGTCCTGCCCTCAGAGAGCTTGCAGTCTGGTTTTCTTTCTTTTTTTTTTTTTTTTTTTTGAGAAGGAGTCTTGCTCTGTCACCCAGGCTGGAGTGCAGTGGCCAATCTCGGTTCACTGCAGCCTCTGCCTCCCAGGCTCAGATGATTCTCCTGCCTCAGCCTCCCGAGTAGCTGGGATTACAGACAGGTGCCACCGTGCCCAGCTAATTTTTATATTTTTAGTAGATGGGGTTTCACCATGTTGCCCAGGCTGGTCTTGAACTCCTGACCTCAAGTGATCCTCCCACCTCGACCTCCCAAAGTGCTGGGATTACAGGAGTGAGCCACCACATCTGGCTGCAGTCTGGTTTTCTAAAGATCTTATCATAATCTCTTACAAAACGGTTCTACTTGCCACATGTTATACTAATCAGCATTAACAGGACAGAACCATCCATCCATCCCATGTTTGGGCACAAATGGACCTTGTTCTGTTTTCTCCTCTCTTAGTAAAGCTTTATGTATAGGACAACAAACAAACAAACAAGCAACAACAAAAGACCATATCAGGTTAGCAAGTCAGCATGCCAAATGGAATGTAGCAGAAGCAATCCAGAAATTGCTTTAATTTAGATCTCACTTAAAATTCTTTATCAAGTTAAAGAATTTAAGTATCTGAATTTACATGATACTGGAATGATAGATGGGAGAAAAATAAAAGAATCACGATCCGTGCAGGCTAAGAGGAACAACACTTCCTGATTCTGCCTTTTTATTCTATGAACTTTTAGCCAGCTAGTATTTACTGAGCACTTACTGTTCCAGGAACTGTTTTGAGTAGTTAGGCACAGAGAGTTTAAGTGACTTGCCCAGGGTCACACAGGAAGTGATGGAGCAGAGATTGGGGCCAGGAGGTCTTTGAGTGGAGAGCCTTTCACTTTGGCACAACCCAGCCCTGCCCTGCATTTGAGGAGCCAAGCTCTGGAGGTGAGGCCATGTGTCCAACTGGTCAGTGTAGTAAGTGATGTGTTCTCAAACCTGTGGCCTCTGAGGTGCCACTCCACGGGGCTATGGAATAAAAAGAGAAGCATACTCATTAATGGACAGCTATTTTCAGCTGCAGTCATTACACTCGCTACATTTGTCACGTGTTGATTATGTATTAAGCATTGTGCTAAACCTTTCCTAGCCATTACCTCATTTAATAACACCGCTATGTGAACAGGCAATTCACCTGTTAAATGAGGCGAGAGGTTGGATGACTTGCCTAAGGCCGAACAGAGAGGAGGAGAGCTGAGATTCCAAAATCCCCTTTTCCACCACACTTTGAAATAAGCAAATGTCAAATGCTATGCAAGTTTTTATTTTAACACCCAAGGATGATGTTAAGCAAACATCTGCTAGGATCAAACCTGTGCATGCTAATTCGCTGCAGAATGCCTGTCGCCGCCCAGCAGGCATTCTTTAACAAACGTGCACCCAAGCTCAGTCCAGGGGGCCAGGCACTGGGGTCAGCACCTGGAGAACAGAGATGAGAGGGGTGCAGCTGCTGTCCTTGGTAGGGACCCAGTCTAGTGGAGAAGGCTCATAGACCCAGCATGGTAGAGCAGTGAGTTGATGATTAGACTGGAGGTACACAGGGAGTGCAGGGAAGGGGACAGCCCAGCCATCCTGTGCAGGGCGCAGCGACGTCCCCGTGAAGCAGCATCACAAGCCAGGTGCTGAGGAATGAGGGGAATTGTGAGATGTTGGCAAGAGGAGAGGTGGTTCAGTAGGTGGCAGGAGCATATGCTGGCATCACCAAGTGGCTAAATGGGTTTATTCAGGCAGCCAGGCACCCGAAGGAGATGGACCTATCAAATGTCATCATGGCCTTGCTGTGTCGTGAGGCCACCGTGCAAATGAATGAGGCCAGAGGAAGCATCCACAGACACCTGCAGGAGAGCAGGCAGGCATACAGTAGCGCCTAGCAGCAACTTGCAGCCATTGACCCTCTCACTAGATGGGCTCCAAGTATCCATCCCTCAGAAATTTCAATAATTGTGACCATCGGTTTACTTCAAGATTTATTTTTGTCTTGACCTGAACCATTGTTCAAAATGTGCCTTGAGAAACTGTTAATTGGAATTTGAAAAAAAAAAAAATCTGTTCATGCGTAATCTTTTATAGAAAGATGCCCAGCTGGGTCATTATTTCCTTGAACCACGTTATACCCTAAATATTATTAAGTAAAAATAGCACAATACAAAACTCTTGGTACATTCTAATACCAATTTTATAAATATAGACTGGAAGTAAAGTTGTCAAAGTGCTATTTTTAGGAATTAGAGATGATTTTAGAAAATTGTCTTATTATCTGGATGTCTTATATTTTACACAATGATCATGTATGTTATAAACTGGAAAAAATACAAAATAAAACCCAAACACCAAAAAAGGACAAAATAAGGAACAGCTTATGGAATGAGTAGAAAAGGAAAATATAAAGTGAGCCCATTGTGAAATCAAATGTGCTGAAATTCATCAGCACCTTTTATTGATTGATGGATGGATTGACTGCATCTTCCAGGCTGGGTGTGGCAGAGGCCCTGAGACCAGGGGTGACAAGGAAGGTGTTTCAGGCTGTGCCTTACAGGACCTGAGCAGAGCATAGTCAACCCTCATCCCAAATATTGCAGTCATTCGTGGAAAGGAACTGAGAGGAAAGAGCTGGACGCTTGGTGTCACACCTGAATTATGTCCTTCCAAGATGTTGAAAGCCCAGTGCTTGTGAATGTGAACTTGTTTGGAAATAGAGTCTTCATAGATGATCAAGTTAAGATGAGGCCATTAGGGTATGCCCTAATCCCACAAGACTGCGTCTTTATAAAATGTGGACACAGAGAAAGACATGCAGAGAGGAAGACGATGTGAAGATACGAGGACAATATCCCCTGCAAGCCAAGGAACACCTGGCTCCCAGCCGCTGGGAGAGAGCTGTGACACAGATCCTCCCTCACATGCTCAGAAGGAACCAACCCTGCTAACACCCCGATCTGAGGTTCCTGGAATCCAGAACTCAGACAATCAATTTCTGTTACTTCAGTTCCCCAGTCTGTGGTCCTTTGGCAGCCCCAGGAAATGAATCCAGTCTGCGTTCTAAGTCTTTTCTTCTACTGTGGTGGTGAAGTCCAAAGTGAAGTCCAGTTTCGTGATAAATGACACATTAATATGGTATCTATTTCTCTCTCCTCTCCCTTTTTCTCCTTTCTATCTCTCCCACCCCTACCTTTATTTTATTGATAAGATAGGAAATGAGAGATTATACGATAAAATACCTTGCTTTTATCCATGGACGAGGCCAAGAAATCCTTTTTCCCACCTCTTAAATCCAGGAACTCAAAGGAGTAAAGTGCGGCTGGCTGGTGACATTGGACGTGGAGGAAGGTGACAAACTGTATATAAACTGTGTAGGAACCTCATCTGGGGCCAGTTGCCCCACTCAGATCTAGCCAGTGGTTGCCATGCTGGAAACCCAGCCCCGAGGGGTGGATTTTCTGCTGACCGGAGGGAAAGCCTCACACGTTTCCTTCACCATGTGTTCCTTGCTCACCATGTTCATCCAGCGTTTGTGTCATCTGTTTAAATATGCTGTCTGGGGCCGGGTGCGGTGGCTCATGCCTGTAATCCAGCACTTTGGGAGGCTGAGGCGGGTAGATCACCTGAGGTCAGGAGTTCAAGACCAGCCTGACCAACATGGTAAACCCCGTCTCTACTAAAAATAAAAAAAATTAGCCAGGTGTGGTGGCACGCGCCTGTAATCCCAGCTACTCGGGAGACTGAGGCAGGAGAATTGCTTGAACCCGGGAGGCAGAAGTTGCAGTGAGCCGAGATTGCACCACTGCACTCCAGCCTGGGTGACAGAGTGAGACTCTGTCTCAAAAATAAAAATAAAATAAAATATATCTACGCTGTCCGAGTCTTCAGAATGGCTTTGCACAACCAATGGGGCAGTCTGCGTAGGAAAGATAGAATGAAACTGTCCTTCAAACATAGAGAAAGGCAGAAGGGCAATAGGAGAGGGACACCCGTCACAAATCAGGTGGGGGCATTGCCTACCCATTTTGCAATATTCGGTTCTGTCTTACTGGCAGCGTCTTTGTTTGGCCAAAAAGAGGGCAACAAGTCTTTGGTTCCTCTACTTGCTCTGCTTGAGGAACTATAAAATGAAGTCATCTCACCAAGGCCATCCGTTCTGTTGTTCCATATACTTCTAGGGTTTTTAATCTGAAGTATCGAGGAAGCTGTCTATCTGCCTCTCCAGCTCATTTCAGATGTAATGTTTTCTCTTCATAGTTACTGTTACACTCTGGCCCAATTCCTAGTGAAATGATTTTATTTAGAATTGGGCTTTTACTTGGCTAAACTTTTCCATATGATGCTTATTCCAAAATGAACCCTTCATGCCAACACATTTTTGTTTATTTAGGAGAAAGAAGGAGGTATTAGGAATGAGGTCTGATGATGACATTAGTGTGTTATTAGCTCAGGTCATCTGGTGATAGCGCAGGCTGTGTGGCTGACATACCTGGTGATTGGAAGCACATTAAATATCCAAATGAATCAGTCTCATGAAGCTGATTCAATGGAGAGTGATAAGCAAGGACACTGGAGTTCTAAGTTTTTTAACAGGAATAATGTAACTGTGATAGCAAGCCTTGTGTATTTTGAGTAATAATCCATTTATTTTTTAAATGTATCTATCTGCCTGCCTGTCTGTCTGTCTGTCTGTCTGCCTGCCTGCCTGCCTGCCTGCCTGCCTGCCGCCTGCCTGCCTGCCTGCCTGCCTGCCTGCCTGCCTGCCTGCCTATCTATCTATCTATCTATCTATCTATCTATCTATCTATCTATCTATCTCTGTCTATCTTTTTTACTGTGAATCTGTGTCCCTGGTACAAGAAATGACCTTACGTTTTAAATAGGGAATTTAGTCACTCTAAATTTCAAACAGGTGGCCCTAAAGAATCAGCAAGTTTAGGAATACACATGTGATACTGAATTGTATGAATGGATGCTTGGCTTAAGTCAAGTTGTCTTAGCTATTCATATGGTTTATAAATAAATTAATTCGCAAAGTGCCCATTTGTTTTTGGAAGCATTAAATTTCACTTCTGACTTAAGTTACGGCTTTTAAATTAGGTTGTGAGTTTGACTTTGGTGTCTTGTAAGGTTATAAGGCGATCGTGTGTGGTCTTCATGGTGCAGTGGATATTTCCAGGAGGTAAACAAGACAAGCCATTGGGGTATAGAAAAAACAAACCTGAGAGCTTCTATTTATGTTCCTTTTATCTCATCTCGTATCATGCCATCATATTCTATCATATCATAAATGTCTGGATAGGACATTTTATATATTTTTTAAATTATATAAAATACAAATTTTACATATATAAAAGTTGTATATGCTAATGGTGCATATTTAATTTTTTTTTTAAGGAATCAAAAACATTGAAAGACCACTGCCTTAGCTATGGGTTTTGGTTTCACCATACTGGAGATAGAATTTATATAGCACACTTAAAGTAAGGGGGAAATAGTTTTATGAAAACAAGCTCTAAAGCAAGGAAATCCTAATGGCAAAAAATATTTTTGTATTTTTCTCTATTTCAGTTTATCTTGGGCCCAGATGGGATCTGAGGCATTGTCAAACATTTTGAGAACTCCCTTCTCTGGTCCTATTCTGGTTCTCCTGAAAGGAGGGAAAATATTAGATTAAAAGTATTCTCCAATTCCACAGTCTGTTTTGAAGGAAAAATCCTAGAAACGCTTTGGTAGATACAGTGTTTTATCATACTGTTTGGTAGATACAGTGTTTTATCATACTGTTTGGTAGATACAGTGTTTTATCATACTGTTTGGTAGATACAGTGTTTTATCATACTGTTTGGTAGATAACAGTGTTTTTTCACCTCTGCCACCTCAGAGTATATGGTTACATGATATGGAAAGTGTTGAGGACAGCAGTTATTTTCTAGCATCCTTATGGCTCCCTTTATAGCTTCCAAGTGGCTGTTTTTGAGTAGATTTGATGTGGATACACTGTGCTAGGGCCGTGGAGCGGAGGATCCTGCCCCGGTGTTATGGTAACACGCACTTGGAGCCTGGAGTCTTGGCTTCTGAACAGTGGCCTAACCACCTTGGTGACACAGTCAACTTACCTGGGTTTGGTTTTTTAATTGTAAGATGAGGGAAATAAATTGTAAGGTGCTAGACAAACGTAAAGTAAAGGTATTCTTGCTGTGATTTCCCCACTTAGTCAGACCATCATGCCAGCAGAGGGAGTCGTGCATGTTTTAAAAGGGAGCTCTGGTAATTTGGTAATCTCTTCCCAACTTCTTCTTCATTGATTTCATATAGATAGCTTGGCACTGACATTTGTGGGAATATTTGCACCATAGAAATCGGCAGAACTATAAATCAGGGCTTTTTTTCCTCCCACCTACTGCCTCCCCTGCCACACAAGAGCTGGTTGTTAACCATTTTCCAGCACAGCACCATTGGCACCGTCACTGTGGACGGGGGTAGAGAGCTACAGTCATCTTGTGCAGGTTGTATGTCCACCCCAGGGCATGTGGTTCTCTTGCCAGAAGAACAAGGCACCAACTCATCAGACACAGACACCAGCCATCACAGGGCATTCCCGGTGAATGCATACGTGTTCAATTGGTCTTTGCAGGCATCACATAGAACATGCTCTACGCTACAAGGTGAGTTGGGAGATGAGGAAGAGACCTTGTCCTTCAACCCAGTCACAGTCTAGTGATGGTGAGTTCTGCATGTTATCCAAACAAGAACAAACCCAGAGCTGGTGTGTGCAGGGCCCCGCGGGAGCAGAGGCACCAGCTGTGCTGCCTGTGAGTCCTGTCCCAGGGCAGTGGCCTGGGCAGGCGGGGTCAGGGGAGGAGGTTTCTGGCTGGACTCCCTGATCCAATTCCAGGGCTTTGAGGATTTCTGAATATGCCATGCCTCTCCCAGCCAGTCCTTTCACCAGGGTAATTATGATGTTCATAAATGAGATTGTTCATGTACAATTTCTACACCAGTAGCCAATTTCTTTAAATGGAAAGGAACAGATTATATATACCTATGTCTCCAACTAGAGCTGAACATGATTAGTGAGAGAAAATGCAGGCATAACGCCAATGCCTTCATACTGGATTACCATGCACCTGATGGACTCCCCCAGGGACACACAGGGAGAAGCATGTCTTTTGGGCTTGGATATCGCCTGCAACGTTGTGACAGGCTGTTAACACAGGTCTCCACCACAGCCTCTCCCAATGCGTCCTCCATCTGACACACCATAAGGCTTTTTAAAGCACGCTCAAACAGTGAGATGCCCTTTCATTCAACTTGGTAGACATCTATTGAGCACCTTCTGTTACCATGTACCAGGCATTGATGGGAGCCCAGTTCTGACCCAAGGCTAGGTTTTCCAGCTCAGCATGTCCCTGGCTCCCAAGCGGATGACCGAGTTCTCCGGTGTTCCCCTGTCCTTTCGCGTCCCCACGCCTGTGCTCACTCCGCCCCTCCCCTGGCTTGCCTTCTCCACTGTCTGCTCATCTTTCATTGCTGAAACGCGGAGTCAGGCCCTAATGATAAAACACCTAAACGGAAATTGACAAGGACAGGAAAGCCTGAAGGTGAAGAACACGTGTAACATGAGAACCGCATCAGCAGGTGAGCAAAGGTGAATCAGAGCCACGTGTGAGGGGAAAGTCAAATTAAGACAGAAGCAGGGATTACTGGGTGATAGGTTTGGCTGTGTCCCCACCGAAATCTCAACTTGAATTGTATCTCCCAGAATTCCCACGTATTGTGGGAGGGACCTAAGAGGAGGTAGTTGAATCATGAGGGCCAGTTTTTCTCGTGCTAGTCTCGTGATAGTAAGTCTCACGAGATCTGATGGGTTTATCAGGGGTCTCCGCTTTTGCTTCTTTCTCATTTTCTCTTGCTGTCGCTGCTTAAGAAGAGCCTTTCGCCTCCCACCATGATTGTGAGAACTCCTCAGCCATGTGGAACTGTAAGTCCAATTAAACCTTTTAAACCTTTTTTGGTTTCGTTTCGGGCATGTCTTCAGCAGCAGTGTGAAAACGGACACTGGGGAAAATCATCTGAATTAAGAGAGTGCTGGGGTGGGGCCTGGGGCGTCGGGGCTGATGCTGCCCCAGCATTTTGGTTTCCACAGTGGAGCCCAGGGAGGAAGTTGGGAAAGAATGAGGAAAGAACGATTGCCCGGAAGCGTTTCACTGTCCTGAGGAGAGTGAGCCTGAAGATTGTAGAAGGCAGTTGCAGAGGTTGTCTGTCATCCTGGACAAGAGACGCACTTGTTGCAGACGTTTGCTTGAGGACAGAAGAGACTGGGGCTGCTGTTGCCTATTCTGTTTCATGGCTTTACTCTGAGAGCCCTGAAAGCATTGACCCTTTGCTTCAGTCATCCATTGAGTTATTCCCACCCAACCCCAACGTGGGTTCAGAACCCTTTCAGAGACATCTCCAACTTGTATTTGTGTCTAAGAGTGTTAGTCTCCTTTGTCAGACTATGAAGAAGCCTTGTCAAGGCAGGAGGGAAAAGTGCTCTTGGCAGCCTCACAAATCTGGCTTTAGCTGAAAGGTATTTTTTGTTTGTTTTCTTTAATCCTCGTCAACTGGACATGGTGCGGTTAAGAGAGGCAAGTATGTGTGAGCCTGGACAGCTTTCCAGCTCTAGGGGCAGAGGAGGTTTGATAGCCCTTCATGGCAGGGTGCATGCGAAGAGTTTTGCTTGCCGGCATAGATAAACTTGACTATGTCTGCTCTACTCAATTTGATGTATAGTTTGAAAGGTAATGCTGTATTACGAATAAAATAATGGGTATATCTACCTAAAAAGGAGAAATTACAATGGGTTGGTGGCTGGTAGGACTTTTAGAGTTTGAGCTATCAACAGGAAACTTGGATCTTGTGTTTTTGTGTTTTCTTTTTTTTTTTTTTTATGGTAAGGGAGGTTATTCTACTGTGTGGTTCAAGCAGATATACCCCTCAGCCACTGCAAGGATATCAGTGTTTCAAGCATGTGCTAGGCTTCAGAATATAAAGACTAGAATGTTTTAGGTTCAAAAAGAGCTTGTTATACATTTAAAATATGGGTTTTGCCTGTAATGTGTGCCAGAGAGACAGACCTGAGAACCACACTCATGCTGAAGGACCAGGATATCTGAACCTGATTACCGAGCATGAGATCAGGGTGAGTCACTGTCAGTCTGTGTTTGCTGGGTATATGCGTATGTTTTGTAAATCCAAGAGTATGGGAAATGGCAGAGAAGGAATGAGCCATGGCCTCAAAAACCTTGAGATTCAGCACAAATATGTCCGCTGGGATGTGTAAACATTTTCAACCCACAGATACGGGGAAGCTTAATTCTACAGAAACATTTGCTAACTAGGCAACAGATTACAACACATGCAGTGTATGAGTTATGGAAGAGTAGGATCATAAGTTAAATAGGGTCATTAATGTAGCTTGCCAAATTGTGAAGACTCTTGTAATAGTATTAAAATTGTACTCAAGCCTATAGAAATGTGAAGCATCTAGACAGTCTCTATGGGGTATTTAAATAAGTATTTAAAATGTCACATAAAAAACATAGCTTGTAGTCCTACCAAAGAAAAAATTGTTAGTATGAAGCTGGATATGGTCTGATTTTTTGAAACTGCAGATGGGCCTGTTGCCTTTGTCTCAGTCTTATCTAAGGCAGGCCAGCAGAACAGGTTTGGAGGTCAACGTAGATAGTTTTGAAATATAGTCACGTGCCCCATAATGACTTTTCAGGCAGTAGACCACATTTACAACGGTGTCTGCTAAGATTGTAATACAGTATTTTTGCTGTGCCTTTTCTATGTTTATTTTATTATTTATTTATTTATTTATTTTGAGACGGAGTCTTCCTCTGTCACCCAGGCTAGAGTGCAGTGGCACGATCTCGGCTCACTGCAACCTTTGCCTCCTGGGTTCAAGTGATTCTCCTGCCTCAGCCTCCCGAGTAGCTGGGACTACAGGTGTGTGCCACCATGCCCAGCTAATTTTTTTGTATCTTTTAGTAGAGACGGGGTTTCACCATGTTGGCTAGGCTGGTCTCGAACTCCTGACTTCAATTGATCCGCCTGCCTTGACCTCCCAAAGGGCTGGGATTACAGGCATGAGCCACCATGCCCAGCCCTATGTTTAGATACACAAATAGTTACCATTGTGTTACAGTGACCTACAGTATTCAGTACAGTCACATGCTGTACAGGTGAGCAGCCTAGGAGCAACAGGCTTCTGAAACCCCCAAAATTTGAGACAGGCCTCAGTAAATTTAGAAAGTTTATTTTGTCAAGGTTGAGGATGTGTGCCTGTGACACAGCCTCAGGAGGTCCTGACAACATGTGCCCAGGTGGTCAAAGCACAGCTTGGTTTTATACATTTTAGAGAGACACGAGACATCAATCAACAGATGTAACATGAACATTGGTTTGGTCTGGAAAGGCAGGACAACTCGAAGGAGAGGGGCTTCCAGGTCACAGGTAGGTGAGAGACAAATGGTAGCATTCTTTTGAGTTTCTGATGAGCCTCTCCAAAGGAGGCAGTAAGATATGCATTTATCTCAGTGAGCAGAGGGATGCCTTTGAATAGAATGGGTGGCACGTTTGCCCTAAACAGTTCCCAGCTTGAATTTTCCCTTTAAGTGATTTTGGGGGCCTAAGATATTTTCCTTTCACATTCCCCAACACCCCCACCCCCACTTTAAAAAATTTTTTTGGAGAAAGCATTTTAGAAGAAGATGAGTCTCTGTTCCCAGGTTTTGTCTGATCTCTCATGACTAGGATGGCTTATTCCTAGACAGGTAGGATCTAAGTTATTAGGAAAACTCATTTTTATAAGGTTATTCTATGAAGAGAAAATAGAGGAAGGAAGACAAACAACAACAAGCAAAAGAACAATCCTGGAAAAATCAATATAGGCCACATTACTCTGAAGCCCATACATCAGTAGGCAGGTATGAAAGTGGCTTATGTATGTAAATAGATTGTTGTCATTTTCTTTTGAAGTTTAAGTTGTCTGGCTTCAGTTCACAGGGCTTTACAAAAGCACAGCTTAGTTTTCAGTGACTCCAAATTAGGAAAAATTGGGAAAAAAAGGAAGGAACAAAAAATTGAAAACATTATTTTGAAGACTTGTAGCCCAGAAAACTTAGAATTCAGTCCAAACTGTAGAAAATAATAAAAATTGAAAAATGTAAGATAAAACTAGAATCTAACAACAGGTGTACTATAGTTTTGAAGCATAATTATTCTCTCTTCAGTTTCCCATTTTTACTAAAGACAAATCATGGTAGGACTGGTTTGCTTTATTATACTTGGCCTAATTATTTGTATACAGTGCAGCAAGAATAATTATTTTTACAAAGGCTTTTAAATTGGCTTTGATGGAACTGTGTTCCATAGGAGGAATCTCAGATAAGACTTTTTTAAAGCCGAGCCCAGCCATGGATTTGTGCCATCAAATACCTATGAGTTGGGTGATCAGCTCCTCTTGAGGTTCCAAGATAAACTTGAGGCTCCTGGACCTGCCAGAAAGTGACATTGTTTACCTACCACAGGTCAGGAACCCTGTGCAGGGGCTGTGTAGACAAAGGTATGAGGCCAGTTTTTTCCAAGGGGTTTTTATTGGCTTCATAAGTCAAGTTTGATTCCTTAAAGGAAAGCACACCATTACAGTCAAAGTCTTGGTAAAATAAACAGTTTCTCTGATTGTGGCCTGTTACAGTGAAAATTGATTCTTACTGCACTTATGCAAATAACTGTATTGTTATAAGTTAGTTATCAGAAACCTGCATTTAAGAACACCTGTTAGAGTTCTATAGCTGATTATAAAACCACCTTCTAAGGAGGACCAAAACAAGACAATTGTCCATGGATGACAAAATGTATTAGGGTAGCCATAGTGAAAGACACAATTGACAAGGAAATTTGTTACCTTGTGGCACACTAACAATTTAACATAAAAATTATAATTATCACTGAAAATGTACATTAAGTCATATTAGAATTACAGGAGTTTACCCTGATTTTGGAACACATACCAATAACATATTTATACAAATACAACCTAAAGGAAACCAAACACCATTTCGTATTTGACAATGTTTCCTGTATAATTTTTATACCAGATAAGCCAAATTATGTCACTTTTGGACTTTAGGGAATCTAATGTCTTAAAGGATTAATTAGGTAAGAAAAAGACATAATTTATAATTTGATTTTGGCAAGTTTGTCAAATAACAAAGGTTTAATACTATTGATATCATAAAATAGGGTCATTCATTTAACTAAAGTGATAACTCAAGGATTTCAAAAAAGGCAAACATCTTCATTCTTTGAGAGAGGAGACTTAATGTTCCAAACAATAAGCCCTAATAAAAATAGCACAAAGTCATTTAAATTTGTTTTTCAAAATTTTGTAAACAATCTATAAAATTTTAATCTTGACCATAAGATACAGCTTCCATAAGCCTTTTATAACCTTTATAACATTTACTGAGGAGTCAGTTAATGCTTCAAGAAAACTTTGTTAATTTGACACAGGGGCCCATATGCTAGTCTTGCATCAGTGTGCCCTTCAACATTAATGATTAATTTATAGAGAAACTGAACTTATTTTATCTTTCAAAATCGACCTTTACAATCTCATGCACCCACCTCTTCCACAATACTCTCTGGGCCTTGAGTTGAAATGGCTTTAATTTCTGGCCCTGTGTCTCAGGAATGTAGTTTATTTTGATTGGCATCTTCTACAGGACCTGAAGATGGGGCTTTAATTGCTGTCAGTGTTTAAAATTTAGTAGGATTTGGTGTCATTTTTAGACCCAGGACTCAAAATCCTGTAACTCAGTGTCACAAGTACTTTAAAAGTGCATGCAGAGAGATATACAGATGAAATAACCTTAATTAAAAAAATTAATTTCAGTTTTTTCCTAAGTAAACCAAACTTAATAATAATATGACAACTTGATCATATAAACGTTTTTTTTAAAAATCTCTTTTTATGACTTACACAGACTGTTCATGACATGCTTGGACTTTCTAGTTTGTCCTGAACGTCCCTCTTTCTTAAATAACCAGTCATTTTACTCTAGGACTAAATTTACCATACAAGATTTTTTTCTCATATGAAATTATTTCTCTTTAAGCTTTCTTGCCAAAGAAACCTCTGTATTTTTATAACTTTCTTTACATCTCTTTTATTTCCTCATTCCTTTTACCTTGTTTTATACATGACTTTTAAATAAGCTTTGAATTAGACAAAAATTGTTCATCTTCTTTTTTAAAAGGACACACTTTGTTTTTGGAGAGAATGTTTTCTATTGGCAAATACCCAAATAATGAAATATCTATTATTTAATTTAATATAACTTTAGATTCTAAATTATGATGAGTTTGTCTACAAGTATTTATCCTATAACATTTACCTAAGTATTTTATTTGTTTAGCTAGATTATTTATGGAAACTGTGATAGTCACCATTTAAAGTTATGGTACCACTGTTGGAAAATTATAACTGAGACCGTGAAAAAGATTTGACGTAACTGACTCCATCTTGCTTTTTACCTCCAAGCTGTCCTTGCTCATTCCTGGGCATAGGCCAAATTAACTTTTGGAGGAACTTAGTTTATAGTTTAGTTTTGAAACAAAGATGATAACAAATTTTACTGCCTGTGGGCTAGACTGCCTAAAGCCACAAGATTAGAAGTTACAGTAATCTTACTAAATTTGAGATGTAGCTATTTTTATTTAACCAATATTAATGTCTTATTTGTTAAAGAGTACACAAGAAAAGATCATTCTGATTTGGGCTGGGTTTATAGTTTTGTAACCCCTATGCCAAATTTTTGACACCTTATAGTATTTGGCAGGGATAAGTATGAAATTGCTTGATTAATAAATGCAAACAAAAATATATGCTGGCAATTTTTAAGACATTTCTAATACTACTTTACCAATAATTTTAAAGCTAGCTTATTTATTAAATATATTAGTTAAGTTACATAAACTTGAAAAAGCATTTGACTAGTCTCTTCCTTTTTCCTGATAAAGTATTTGATTCAAGTGCTTTAGTTTTCTTAAACTAATTAATTGGAACTCTTTATATATTTTCAGTAGTGAAACATTGTGTACACAACACATAAATACATAGACATATTAGGCATGCCGATAGAAGTACATCTTATAGATTCATAAAAACCTTTTTTGTTTTATCCTGTCTCAGACTTTCAGATTCTTGATAATCTGTTTCACAATCCTAGGCAGCTGTCAGCTAAATAGCCTTAAATTTGCATATTAAAGGAAACAACTAAGGTGTAAATCAAATAGCAAAATTTACATTATAAAGTACAGAGAGAAAAAGTCTGGTGGTACTAGAGGGAAATTAAAGATGGATGCCAAATCAAATGTAAAATCATAGAAATCTATCATAGGATTGTATAAGGAGACCAGGTTTATTTAGATAGGGACTTCCTATCTTTTAACTGGATCTCTGAACTCTGGGCAAAACCTACACTGAATCCTGGGTCTTCAAAAAGGGAGAATTATTATGAGGTTAGACGCTTTTACAGTGCACTTAAAAAAATTTTTTTTAAACAGAGACGTTCCTAAGTGTCTAAACCATACTCTTCCTTAAAAATCCAAGAATAACCTCTGTTGCAACTATTTTAGTCAAAACAAAACAAAACAAAACGAAACAAAGGGGTCTTGGCTATCTATGTCTCTGTGGTGTGAACATACCAGTGCCCTGTTTCACCTCCTGATATTTCTGTTCTTCATCACATCCTGCCTGGTCTCTGACCAATCATCTATTTATGCCTTGATTGACTTAATTCATTTATTCAACAAACGTCGGTTGAACACCTGCTTAAGGTACATACTGTTCCGAAAGCTGGACAGACAAATGAGGACCCATTCCGTGCTCTTTTGGGGCTTATATCTCCATGGGAAAATCGAAGGCTTTGCCTGTCTGACCCTCGAGGAGCCTGTTCGGGTCTGACATGGAGTCTTGCTATGAACATGCTATGAACATGCTCAATTCAGGTCTCTCCTGGTCTGTGCTTTCAGAGTCCCCCTGTTCTACTGGTCCCAACTCCTCATTATGCCCAAGGCTGTGGAACAGAGTATCAGGATCAGCAACAAAGGGAACAGAAAAGTTCCCTTCTCTTTCTGGCTTTGTTAGAACAATCAACGTATTTTACAGCTAAATTTGCAAAAAATTTTCTAGCAGCTTGGCAAGGCTTTCCTCATAGAGGAGTGGTAATGAAGCCCTTTTATCCAGCTCCATGGCTCATACAGTGTCACAGCTGTTGGTGAAATTGATAGGTGCCCATGGATTAATTCAAGCCCAGTAGAGAAGAAAGCAGCCATCACCTCCAAGCAAGCCTTTGGGATTCCTCATTGTGGCTTTCTGCTCAGCTCTTCTCCAGAGGGTGCTGGAGTGGGGGAACTCATGTCACTCATCAAAGTTCCACTTCGATGAGGAATGCCTCATTCTAGCACCAAAGTGATGTCTGCCCACTTATCACCAGGTTTCAAGCTGATTTATGGGCAACCCAACTTCTTTCATTTGGTTTACACTTTTTTTTCCTTGAAAGTCAGCCTTTCCTGTTCGATGTGCGTTTTCTTCCCCAGTAATTAACACAAGGTCATGATTGCCGTTTTAGGGACTCTTTCTGGTGTGGGTTTGCTTGTGTTCCCCAATGGTAGTTCTGATTACATTGTTTCACCTGATTATTAATGATTTTTTTCCTGTTAGGCAGCTGTGCATTTCATCCTGGCCTTCGGCTTGAATTGTTACAAATTATGAATTGATAGACTTCAAATCAAATTTTATTGTGCCTTATGTAAATACTTGGGAAATAATTTTTTATTTAAATAAATCAGCACCAAATAGTTTTCTTTTGAACACATAGACTTCTTTTGCATTTCTTTTTTCTGAATTGTTTTTCTGTTGCTGTGAATCTTGAAGATCTAAGTGATGAATGATAGTTACCTTTTTTTAACCAAGTTGTTCATTGCAAGTATTTTTTTGCTATCGTTGTTTTAAGTGAATTCAAATTTGACCTAAGGAGACAGTGGTTATCATATGCGTTATTGGGTTTTGTCTTAAACTTTGTGAACATTATGGAAAAAAAAAATGCTTAAACCTGCAGATGTTGGGGGTGGGTGTGTGTGCGTGCATTTGTATACATAAGTGTGTACATGAGTTTAATTGAGCTGTTAAGAACAAGAAGCCTTCAAGGTGGGAACAAAAGGGAGATCTTGCCAAAGCCAGAAAGATGATAAATGTACAAGAGCACATTGTTAGGGAAGTTCCACAGAGGGCGCATCTGGAGAGAGTCTCTGAATACTGAGTAGCTTACTTTTAGTAACAGTGCTTGTCTTGGTAGCTAACGTTCATATAAAAAAGGAGACTGAAATGTAAAATATATACTTGATTTTCAGAAAATCTGTTTTTCTGACAGTTCAGTTTTTTTCTTATTAGAATTGGAACTCAGCCTAGCCTTGTTTTGAACAAGACTAACAGGATTGTGAGGTGGAGGAAATATTAATAATGAAGCCTAGGAAAGGGTTATTACCATCTCTCTCAGCTCTCATTGTTCTACCTCTCATAAGAATATCCAAGATAAAGGTCTTCAAGGCATGCCTTGAATGATCTGCATCCGTCTTGCTAAGCCTTGGGCTCCTACTCAAGCTTCAGGCTGTTTTCCACTCCTGGCTGGGGCCACACTCCTGTCCCCACCCACTCAACCTGCTGCTCAGAATCCCTCTCTCCCCTGCAACTCCTCCTCCTAGGACTTCTCTTTCCCTAACACTGGGTCACTGAATCTTGCTCTCAGTGAATTCATGTTCCTTGCCCCATATCCAACCTCCACTCCATCCCCATTTCCCCTCTACTATTCTACCTTTCCTTCTATTATCAAAGGAATATCGCTTTCTAACATACTAATTCATTTACTTTTTATGGCGGTGGTTTACTGTCATCTCTCTCCGCCTCCGCAGGTCCCCATTCACTGGAAGTGGAGCTTGTTGGAGGGATCTCTGTCTAGGGCTCCAGCTATAGAGAGCAGTGCTTTGTACCTTGCAGGCACTGATAAATATTTTTTGAAAGCATAAATTCCTTGCACTACACTTGTTTTATCTTCTTACTAAATGTGTTCACCCAGCTTTATAGCATCTTCACAGCATGGCCCAGCGTGCTGCATGGTAATTGGTACCCAAAAAAGCCTGGAGACTGATCACGTAACCCAGGAGTTTTGTTTTCTCACGGATCCTGTCTTTGTGTTAGGCAGGGCACTGGTACTCACTGGAGAGAAGAGGGATACAAAAAGAGCATTTAGGAGCGAGAGGAGCTCTTATATCTTCAATGACTGATTTCATTACTACTTTTAAGCAGTTAAAGACATTTAGCAATTTTACTTCCAGAGGATTTCTGGAATCACTAATTGATTGTCCACACTTCTTTGCAAAAGAGAGATAACACTGTCTACAAAGATTTGGTAGAAACATAAGACTCTTAAATTCTTATCTGCATTGGAAAAAGTCCCTAGCCAGTAGCTTTATACTTTCAAGGAAACCAGGAAGTCCATGGAATATTCCATTAGATAACTGAAAGGACTATTTTTCAGCCTATTTTCTCTGTTGTCCAGATGAGCTGATTTCTACTGTTCTGCCTTTGAGTTCACTGGTTCTTTCCTCTGCCTCCTTCACTCTTCTGCTGAGCTCATCCATTGAGTGTCTTATTTTGACCAATTACTTTTCCACTTGGTTCTTTTTTTGAAAACCTTTTTTTGTTTGTGAAGACTTTTTTTTTATTTGTTTCAAGTTTGTTTATAATTGCTTATTGAAAGAGTTTTATGATGGCCATTTAAAAATTCTTCTTAAATATCTTCCATGTCTGTGTCATCCCAGGGTTGGCATGTGTCAATTGTCTTTTTCTCTTTCAAGTTGTGATTTTCCTGGTCCTTGGCATGTCAAGTGATTTTTCAATTGTATCTTGGACATTTGGAGAATTATGTTATTAGACGGTAGGT
This sequence comes from Homo sapiens, assembly GCF_000001405.40. Taxonomy (NCBI): domain Eukaryota; kingdom Metazoa; phylum Chordata; class Mammalia; order Primates; family Hominidae; genus Homo; species Homo sapiens. Next base: position 161,206,583 of record NC_000006.12, on the reverse strand, counting down.
CTTACTTAAACTTGTTTTAACAGATTTTCTCTGATACTGTGTCACTGGGTCAAGGGATGCCACCTTATTATTGCCAGGTAAGGGTAGAAGTCCAGGTTCCCCACTCTGCCCCCAGTGACACCTGGATGGGAGAAGGGTGTCTCATTACTGCTGTGCAAAGGTGGGAGTTCAGATTTCCCACCAGGTCTCCAGGATGGTGTGCTGGCTGGGAGGGGAGGGAGTGCTTTATTGTGTTGAGGAAAAGGGTGGTCTCATTATCACTGGAGAATGATGGAGGTTCCAGCTCCCCACTTAGCCTTCTATGACATCGGTCACCCAGCAGGTAGAGGATGTGAAATTACAGCCCCCCACCCCAACCTTTGCTGATGGGGGGTTGGGGTAGGGCCACAGTTTTTCCATGAGTTCGGTTGGTGTAGGGCAGTTACTGTCTAGAGGTTTTCGGTCTTGCTAGGCTGCCACTTCCCTGATCCTTTAGCTGGAGGGAGCAGGCTTTTCTTGGGGCTTTTTTTGTCTACATCGCACGGGCTTGAAAAAACATACGAGTACAAAGAGTTCACCACCATGTCGTTCCTCAGATCCCGAGGTGTGCCCTAGCTGGTCTGCCTTCTTCTCTCCACCTTTCAGAGTCTCTTACGTTTATTTTATATGTAGTGTCCAGGGTTTTTAGCCATGCTTGATGGAATAGGAAGAAGTGTGCCTACTCTATCTTATCCCAGAACTGGAAATCTAGAAGAACTATTTTAATTTCCTGTTTTAAAAGAAACAACTCTGAAAAGAAGATCAAAAAAGAATAAAAGGTTTTATGTTGGCATGTTTGTTGTTATTATTATTATTATTATTATTATTGTAATTTCAACCTTTCTGTGGCTTTTTTCTTCTGATCTGTTTCAACTTGGTGTTTTGATATTTTGTGATCTTCCAGTGGGAAGTTGTATACTGCTTTTCCCCCTGAAAGTGCGATTGCTTCTTGCTTTAAAACTAGGTATTTATCTAGTTGATGTTCCATGGTAATTGGTGACATCCTGAGTAGAAACCAAGTAAGTGGATTTTAAGTTTCCCCATGAGATGTGCTGTAAATGTGCCTCTGCTCTCTCTGGCTGGGGAGAGCTGCTCTTTCAGGCTTTTGACCTTTCAGTGTCCCTCTTGGTCATTCTTGATAGTGCCTGAGTTATCGTTCAGCATCAGTGCAGGAAAGGAACACTCTAACCTCCCCCACAGGACATAGAGGAGAAAGGAGCCTTAAGAATGCCCTGTGTCCTCTTTGGGTTGGTTCTCACCATTTGGCTCCACTGCTTGAGTTTCTTTGACCATGCCTGGAGAGTGGCTTGGCACAAGGCCCTCTGGTCAGTGGGATGTGCATGCCCACTCTCTGTGGTGGGGCAGCCAGGAGGGAGATCAGGTGGACGAGAGGCGGAAGATACACATTTTAGGATCAGTCGTGCCAGAGAATCATGATGTGTTTTGACTCTGAGCAAAACGGCGTTGCTGTGCTTCCCAAACGTCCCTTCCAGCACAGAGTGCCTGCAGATCGACACTCAGACTCCTTTGCCCAGTCCCCAGTGGTGAGGCTGAGGCTGGCTTCCTTCCTGGTTTCTGTCCAGTGTCTTTTCATCAACAGCGTCATGTCGTTGTTCATACCCGGTTTATTGTAAAAAACTGCTGATCATTCTAATTTGGAGGTGACTCTTTTTTCTTAACCACAATTGAAATTCTTCTTATAGCTGACTCTATAATCATTACAAAGTAGCACAATGGAGAAAAGGGAATAACTTCACTGAAAATATGTGTTTCACTCTGGGGAAAAAGCTCCTGCCTCTTTGATCAGCCCCACCGTGGTCTGTATCCTCTCTGCTTGGCACTGTAGCACTCATATTCTGTGAATTTAGGGAACATTTTTTTTTAACAGCTGCTGATGACAAACAACCATACATCAATTTTGATTGACATTTTGTTTGCCTTTTGAGATTTAATTAACATTTGTAAAATTTGGGAGAGTTAAACTTCATCATGAGATAATAAGAATCCAGTGCTGTTTCTAGATAATTGTCTTCAGCTGAAGGATAAATATAGCTGGAAAGGGAGAATTTTGGAGGGGGTACTAAATAGTAACTGAAGTATTTACCTTTAAGGTTGGAACTGGTGATAAAATTGGTTATGTAAGTATTAAATTGGAGACATGCATCGCTATTAAATCCAATAAAACAATAAGGCACTGGTTCAGTTTGAAAGAAATTTTGAGAATGCAGTGATTGAAAATGTATTCGGGCCAACTTAGAGATCATCTCCTCAAATTTCAGACATATTTAACATATACACTACCTTTATATAGAAAGATAGACAAAATTATTAATAAACACACAAATCCCTTTTATGTACACTTACTAATGAGAAGTTTAAATGCATTCATCTTCTCTAAATGCAACTGAGAAAAATTTAAGTTTTTTTAAGCACACATTCCTGAGTATGTGTTTAGTCTTGAGAAGGTAAAGTCAACTCAAGAGTCTGAAATTGTTTTTAAACATTTAACAACCTAGAATCAACATTAATCATGAGTGGCTTTGGCTTCAAGGTCACAACTATTTTTATGATTATTACTACTGTTTATTTATGTTAATGGTATGCAAGTCTGTGTAGCATCATAAAGAGTCCCTGATTGAATGCTTTCAATGTGAATTTAGAGGGTCAAATGAAGGGCAGGGGGAAACTAAAACCAACCAACCAACAAAAACTCTACAAGGGGTGGAGAAATGGCATATAATACTGACCTGGACAGGTAGATGGTGATAGCTCAACAAGAGGACTTCAAACCAGTGGGGTCTCATAAATTCCAGACAAAGAAAACTCTCCCAGCCAGGCGCTGTGGCTCACACCTGTAATCCCAGCACCAGCCGGGCGCTGTGGCTCATGCCTGTAATCCCAGCACTTTGGGAGGTTGAGGTGGGCGGATTACTTGAGGTCAGGAGTTGGAGACCAGCCTGGTCAACACGGTGAAACCCCCGTCTCTACTAAAAATACAAAAATACAAAAATTAGCTGGGCTTGGTGGCAGGCGCCTGTAATCCCAGCTTCTTGGGGGGCCGGGGCAGGAGAATCGCTTGAACCCAGGAGGTGGAGGTTGCAGTGACCTGAGATCACGCCATTGCACTCCAACCTGAAAAACAAGAGTGAAACTCTGTCTCAAAAAAAAAAAAAAAAAAAAAAAAGAAAGAAAAAGAACACTCTCCCACAAAATTCCAAGCACTTTTATTGATTCATTATTCATTTAACGAACACTTGTTGAGCATGGGTTACATACTAAGCATTATGCTGGGTGCTGGCTTTATAGCAATGAGTAAGACACAGCCCTAGGCCCTAGAAGACTTACAATCCGACAACCTAATGGGAGAGAGAGAGACTATAACAGACAATGATAATGCAGGATATATTCCAGTTACTAAATGCTGAGGAACAAATGACCCCATGAATTACAGGCTTAAAATAATCATTTCATTGTGCCCATGGATTCGTTGGGTCAGGATTCTGAACAGAGCCCAGTGGTAACAGCTAGGCTGTGCTCCAGGATGCCTGGTTCCCAGTGGGGAGACTCGAGAGTAGGGGGCAGAAATCAAGGGCTGGTATCTTTACTCACAAGCCTGGAGGTTGATGTTGGCTGTTGGCTGGGACCTCAACTGGGGCTGTCAACTGGAGTAACCTATCCATATAGCCCAGGCTTCCCCATGGCAGACAGCTTCAAGGCAGTAGCATTTCTTAGCTGGTAGTTTAGGGCTCCAAAAGTCAGTGTCCCCATTCACGGGGCATAAGGTTATGACCTGGCCTTGAGAGTCATGCATTTTTTCTGCCACATTATCCTGGTTACAAGCAAGTTAGTAGCCCTCTTAGATCAAGAAAGGGGAAATTCCATTTTACCTCTCGATGGGGGAATGACTTACATTCTAGAAGAGCCTGCGGGATATACAATATTATTGTAGCCATCTTTGGAAAATACAGTCTGTTATAGATGGTAATTTTTAAATATGTCTTTGACAGTCTTCCCTGAAAAAAGTGAAACCCCATTTCCCTAACTCCTGAGTGCGGGCTAGTAACTCTCTTCTCTTCAACTAAGTGACATAAATGGTGCTTTGTAACTTTCAAGGTGAGGCCATAGCTTCTGCCTGGTTTCCTCTCTCTTTTCCCCTCTGTCCTCTGTCATCCAGAGGAAGCCAACTACCATGACATTCAAGCATGAAGACATTCAGGCATCACTCAGACGGGCCCATGAGAAGAGGAATTGAGATCTACAGCCAATAGCCAGCACCACCTTGCCAGCCTCAGGCAAGCCCCAGCTGACATCTTGACTGCGACATCCCCAGAGACCCCAAGCCAGAACCACTCAGCCATGTCAGTCCTGAATTCTCCACCTTCAGAAACTGTCGGAGATAATAAGTGTTTTTGTTATTTTGGGCCATCATATTTTGGTTATGAGCAATAGATAACCAGTACCTACAGCCTGACATATAGGCATGCAGGAGTGTGTATTGGGTGTATATATGAGAGCCACCTTGTCCAGGTTCCCGGGTCAGGTAGACTTCCTGGAGGAGGAACACTTATGATAAGTCTTAAATGGCTTATAGTGGCCTTTAGTAAGCATCTTTCTTACTGGCATCCTACTTGGCATATCAAAGTTCACACATCTAATGTGAACATTGGCATATCCAAGAACACTGGAAATGGGAAAAGAATTACGGGTGAATGGTTGTCAAAGTACAGTTAATTGTCTGTGAAATGGGACTTCCTCTTGCACTGGTTAGAGAATGAAGAGAGCCAATGTATCTTAAGAGCTGAGAGCAGGACCTGGCCCTAGTTGGGCCACAGTAATTTACCTACCCCTATCTTTTGAAGTCAGCCTCAGCATCACCCTGGAATTGCTACAAGTGGGGAATCTCAGGCTCCTCTCTCCAGATCTAGGAATCTGCATTGTAACAAGTTGCAATGATGCAAATGCACATTAGAGTTTGAGAAGCCCTGCTGAAGAAGACAGAGGCTCTGTATTGCAGGAGAGTTCCTGGGACATCGCAGATAGAGCTCATGGTGGGGAAATTTGGATGACAGCCTTGAAAACCAGAAGTAACTAATTAAAGAACAGAAAACCATTTCTCCTGGTTTTTACAAATGACTTTCTTACTTCTAGGTTCTATTTTTAACCTCAAGTGCTCTTTGAATAAAAATAAGACTGAAAAAAAAGGTAAATTGGTTCCTGTAATTTCCTTTTCTTCTGGTACTTTAACCTCTCTCTTGGGACTGTAGAGCTCATTAATCCAGTCCCAGAGAAAATTGTCATTTTTCATTAATGGCTTCTTAACCTTCACCTTATCTGATTAGGTACAGAATTAAGTCTCTCTTGAACAGCCTCCAATCCCCACTCCCCTGCCAGCTCATTTTCTCCAGAAAGGACCTGGAGGATCAATATTGCAGAGGAACCTGAGTTGATCAATGGGACAAGATTTCCTTTGCAACACCGCACGGCTCATGATGACTTCCTCGGCTGAGCTGTAATCGTGGTGGCAGGCTAGAGAGCAAGATGATGCATTTGCAGGAAGCTGTCGTTCTGCCTGTTGCTCTGATGGAAAGGATCACAGGCTGGCCCAGCTTTGCAGTGACCCCAGGCTGAAATGTGTTGTTTTAGCTCCAGCCAAAATGCAAAGTGTGATTGGGATCTGCCATTCTAAAATGAGGCAATAGAGGGTATCTGTGTTTATGAGTTTGGATGGATCAGAAATTGTGGCCAAATAGAATAACCTTCTCAGAGACAAGAGCCATCCTGCGGGGGCAGTGTAACACATGGACCGTATGGCTTCAGGAACAGATGGAGCCTCATTTGAATTCCAATATGTCACTTGTTTGTCCCCGATTCTTTACAAAGAGCAGAGGAGGGACCTATGGTGTCCCTAGTCAACATAGTAAATATGATTATTGAAGAAAAGAAGAGGTGCCAATAATTCTTTCTAGAGTAATCCTGAGCAATCAAAAAATGAGATTACGCTACCCTGTGGTTATGCCCAAGCACACACACTGTTTTTCCCCTTGTCCAGACCAACTATGATTAGATACTGGGTGGAAATGGAAGAAGCCAGAGAGTGCAGGCCTTCTCATAGATAATTAGGATTGTACTGTGGTTATTTGGAGATAAAATGGCATGTTATTTAAGATAAAACTCTCTGAATTCAGACAGCGCACTCCATCATTTACTGTGCATCCCTTCCTATAGTACCTGGCACACAGGCCTTAATGTGAAATATTAGTTAACACTTATCGAATGCTTTCTACATGAGTAATCAATAGGTAAATGTTCACTCATTAGCATTATTCTGCTGTGATTTTCTCATAGAAGTGATGTACAATTTGACATTTTTTCTCATGGGGACCGGGCTGAAGGGTGAACACAGAATTTCTAGTTTTTCCTTTTGCTGTCTGTCCTCATTTCTTCCTTCCTCTTTCTGTGCACATTCGTCGCAATGCAGAGTTAGGCCCTTAGAAGCCCTCCTCAGTGCCCTTCCTTTCCCTCTCTCCTTCCCCTTGTTGCCCTGGCAGTGTTAAGGGAGTCTGTGCCTCTGGGAGCCTTTTAAGGAACAAGCCGTTGTTCTCAGGGGGCAGGAGGCAGAGTCCTTACACAGCATTGATGTCAAGCTGCTTTAGTCTATTCTCACACTGCTATGAAGAGCTACCTGAGACTGGGTAATTTATGAAGAAAAGGGGTTTAATCAACTCACGGTACAGGAGGCATGGCTGGGGAGGCCTCAGGAAACTTGCACTCATGGCGGAAGACGTAGGGGAAGCAGACACATCTTTACGTGGCCGGAGGAGAGAGTAAAGGGGGAGGTGCTGCACGCTTTTAAATAACCAGATCTCACGAGAATTCACTTGCTGTCACGAGAACAGCAAGGGGGAAATCCACCCCATGGTCCAGTCACCTCTCACCGGCCCCTCCCCCAACATTGGGGATTACAGTTCCACATGAGATTTGGATGGGGACACGGAGCCAAACCGTATCACATGCCCAGGGCCATAACCCCAGGCAGCTTGGCCTGCCACTGTCATCAACAAGGGGCTGTTGTGGGCAGCAGAATCTGTCATTCCCTTAAGAAACAATGTGTGTGTGTGTATGACCACATCTACCAAATGCCTTCCCAGACACACCTAGTATTTGATTAGATAACTGGGTCTCTGCTCTAGTCAGTAGACTTATAAAACTGACCATCACACCAGCCATGTGGTTTGAGCCCTTGAAGTTGGTCTCATTAGCCTGAGCTTTGAACACTGAAAGAATTGTAGGAGGGGCGGGCATGACAAGATGTGTTGAGATGGTGAACAAATGCCTGCTGACGACATTCGCAGTCCTATAGAAAAGCTTTTTTGTATGTTTCTGCAAGTCTGATGCACAGTGTTGCAATGTGCTATTTATGCAGAAAAGACTGAGGCCAATTAACGTGTTTTTTTTTTTTGTAATTCCTCTATAATTACCAAACTAGAATCCTTTTAAAACCTGCATTATTAAGCATTTCTGTTATATCCAGATGTTCTTTAGAATTAGTATACGTAATCTGTCCCAAAGGCTTATTGCATCATGAATTTCAACAAGCAAATCTTAGGGCTTCAAAAAAGGAATCGATATCAGCAGTAATTCTGACATATATTTGAGGAGTTTCTGGAGTTTAAAATATAGAATCGTGGATCATATAAACAAGATATTTACCCCTTAATAAGCTATGTAATTTTGTCTTTACTCGAAACAACATATACGTTCCAGGTCAGTTTCCCTGTTAACATTCACGCACTCCGTCAGTGTAAAGGAAAAAACAGACTGCATATAGTGTTCCCAGCACTCTGCGGAGTTCCTTCTACATGTGAGCTTATTTAAACCTAATAACAACCATGACAGATGAGGAAACCGAGGCACAGCAGGTTAAATAGCATGTCCAAAGTCTCACAAGTAGTAGATGGTGGGGCCAGGATGTAACCCAGCCTGAGCAATTATGTGTCTAAATTCTACCATAAAGGTAGTGTTTGCCACCTGGTTTATTTTTCTCACTGTCATGGCCGTAAGACAGGTTTCTCAACCTCAGCTGTGTTGACACTTGGGACTGGATCATTCTTTGTCATGGGGCTGTTCTGTGCATTGTAGGATGCTTAACAGCATCTCTGGCTCCTACCCTTAATGAATAGCATCCCCCTTCCAAACCGTGACAATGAAAAATGTCTCCAGACATTGCCAAATGCCCCGGAGGAGAGGGGATTGTGAAATCACTCTCAACTGAGAGCCACTTGCCAAAGCATGAAAAATTACTTGAGATTATATTTACGTACAAGCAAGAAGTATAATTTAGAGGGTTTTATTCTATTTAGGAAAGAATATAAATATCTTTTGCATATCCACTTTTAATATTGAGAATAAGAAACACAAAACTCATCAATAAGCATATTAGTTAGTACAATAGACATGTGTTCTTTATTATGGAACAGTAAAGGGAAATATTTTAAAATATTAAACAAAAGAAGAGTGGGAAGAATGAAGTATGAGAGACTGAAGAAGAGTTGGGGGAAACAGAAATAGAAAATGCATCGTATCAAAAAGGGAACTTATTAAAATAGAACCAACAAGTTGCCAGCCCGAATTGTCTGGGTAAACCCTACGTGTAGCTTTTCATTGCTATTGACAGTGAGGCCAAGACCACATTTCAATCAATCAGCAGTGGGTATTTATTGATGATGACATTTCCTCTAGAGTCCACGTAAGTAATTTTATTTCCAGAACTCCGGCAGGCACTTAACTCTCCTGGGTGCCCTCTGTGGGTGACCTCCCTGGGGCTAGGCCAGTGGTCTCCTTCCCAGGCTCTCCTTCTAGCCTCCCACCCTTCCACCTGTCCAGTCCTTCTAGGAGCTCCTGCAAGACAACGGCTCTAGGTTAGGAACAGCAGGGAATGTAAAGATGTCTGGCAAGGAGGCAGAGTGGTTCAGGAGAGGAAAACATGAGCCCCAGGAGTAATGCGTACATCAGTCGGTACATTCCTAGAGGGCTGAGGCAGGAGGAGAGAGAGCCTGTTGGGTGCATTGGGAGCATTTGGGAGTCGGAAGAGGCAGCTATCACTGTGGAAGATTTCCCAGAGGAGGGGCCAACTAGGTTTAGATGTTGAAAATATTTACCATGACCACATGGAATAACATGTTAAGAAATAAACATAAGCAGGTGTACTTACTCCATCAAGAATCACTTAGAGCAGTATTTCCCAAACTGTTTTATGGAACGCTAGTTCTTTAATGTCCCTAGCAGTGCAAGGTCAGGGCTTACGTGCCCTGGCCCCTCTCTGAAAGCGCTCACTGTCCATTAGCACATTCAACGTTCGGAGAAGGCCAAAGGGAAAAGCATTGGTTTATCTCATTTTTTTCCAAATGGCCCATCTCCTAAAATACTCATTAGTATCGGCAAATTAAAGTGTTCCTGGATCCGTTCCATGAAACAAGTTTGGGAAAGTGGTTGGTGTCATTTTCCTGTAAAGCACTCACCTCTTGTGCGCTTCTATTACTGCCTCCTCCATTGGACACAGAATTCCAAGAGGACACAGACTTTGCCTCTTGTTCACAGCTGACTTCCCCAGTGCCTGGAGCAGTTCCGGGCACCCAGTAAGTGCCCAAATGTTTGGTCAGTGAGCAAGTCCTGATGTGACTTTCTTGACCATCCAGTTGACCACTCATTCCTCTAGCTTTTCCTCTCCTTGGCATTTTTTTTTTTTTTTTGGCGGGGGGAGATAGAGTCTTTCTCTGTTGCCTAGGCTGGAGTACAGTAGCACGATCTCGGCTCACTGCAATCTCCGCCTCCCAGGTTCAAGCGATTCTCCTGCCTCAGCCTCCCAAGTAGCTGGGACTACAGCTGCAAACCATCACACCAGGCTAATTTTTTGTATTTTTGGTAGAGACAGGGTTTCACCATGTTGGCCAGGCTGGTCTCGAACTCTTGACCTCAAGTGATCCGCCTGACTCGGCCTCCCAAAATGCTGGGATTACAGGCATTGAGTCACCACGCGTGACCCTCTCCTTGCTTCTTAACACATTAGATTGAACTGTGACTTGTAACTCTAGTCTTTGCCCTAACTCTGTTGCTTCAGACCTATTTCAGACCCTGGATAGGACCACAGTCCTACCCCTCACTGACTTAATCATCCCCAACCCAGGCACTAGGTGTTATTTGATGTGACTTATCTGTTGGGTTTGCCCTGACTGCCTCTTTTTTTTCCTTTTCAAACACTTTCATAGTTTCCAGGACACCTTTTCTGCAGATTTCCCTCCAGCCCCTAGCCTCTCCAGTTCCTGGCTTTTTCTTAACATTGCTGTTCTTTGGTAAAGTGTCACCACTCAGTGTCTGATGCCTTAACTTACTAGGTCCCATTTCTTTTCTCCTAGAAAGACAGTGCTCTTAAGATGGCGAACCACACCATTCTAGAAAGAGGTCAGGGTTATATTTCTGTCTTGGGATGGTGGGTCATTAAGCCTCATTAAGTTATGCAAATCCTAAAGTCCTGGCACCTTCAGGGGCTCTAGAATATCCAGCACGTGAATCACAGAGCCTTGTGGGTGTGAGCTGCCTCTGCACACGGTGGGGAGAGCCTGATCAATGTCAGGAAGCTTTGGGAAAAGATAGGATCGGAGCGGACCTTGAGAACATTCACATTCAAGACTTGCCCTAATGCCAACGCTAGACAATCAGCCTGCCTGCTGGCCCTGACACCTGCCCCAGAGAGCAGTGTAGAGCCATGCCTGTGTGACGAGCCCCGAGGGTGTGGCATGCCTCCCTAAATGTCTCCAGGTTCTCTGCATGTGTAGTTTTGGATCTGAGAGACAGAGGGTGGCCTTCTTAGAGTTCTTTCCTCTTCGGAGTAGTCAAAGGTGACTGAGGCATGACACAGCCTGATGCAAGGTCTCTTTCTCCTTCTGCAGCTTTGATCACATGATGAAGTTCTGCAACATTTGCTTTTATACTACAGGCATCATGGGCTTGCTGAGTGAACTGTTACATGAAGTGTGCGCTAGGAAGCGCTTTGAGCTTTTAAAGATCTCTGGCTACTGTACAAACTTCTGATTCTGATGAACATGAAGTTGCTGTATTTCTAGGTGGCTTTAAATCTTGGAATGATGGAAGCATTCCTTGCAGGTCATGCCATATAATGAAAGGTGTTTATAACCCGCCCAATGGTTGTCCTGCAGTGCTTGTCTTCTCTGAATAATTACTTTTTTTCTTTTATTTTGGGAAGACTGCCACTGGAAAGGGAAAGCTGGACTCTTACCCTGAAAATAGGTGCCAGTTTCTTGTCTTGAATTATCCTTCATCTTGGTTTTCGGTTAAATGAGAAATTTGCTTCAAATTCTGAATTATGTTTCTGGTGTGGTTAAATTAAGTTGTATTTTATTCTTTTGGAGAAAAGAATATATTTAATTTTGTACTTAATGTTGAGATCCCCAGAAAGGCCTCAATAAATAGTATTCTTCACAGTTATATTTCTAAACAATTTGAGAAATTAAGCAAGGACTTGGAAGGTGGTGGCCAAAGCTTCTCCCGGGGCAAGTAAGGTGCAGGAAGGCAGGAATTTATCTAAGGAAGGATCCTTTCTAAGGGAAACTAGAAGTAAGGAAGTTGTTCCTCTTTAAAAGCTAAGTGTATCAGATCATCCATGGAAACCATTTTATTCATTAATTTCTGAAGTGTTTAAGGAGCTCCTGCAATGTGACAGGCACCAAGTCTGATAACTTAAAGATGAACAAAATAAGTTTCCTCTGTCAAGAAACAGCCTTGTCGAGGACACATGCAAGGACATGCAAATACACACACACATATGCACATACACATACATACGCACACACAATACATACATACATACCTACGCATCTATACACACATACACATACATACATACACATACACACATACACATACACACATGTACACATACATAGACACACATACATACATACACATATATACACACATACACATACACACATGCACACATACACATACACACATAGACACACAGACACACACATATACTTACATGCACACACACACATACACACATACATGCGCATATTCTAACACACACACACACACACACACAAACACACACACACACTACTCTGGAAAGGAATGGGGACCAGGTTTGGCTGACAGAGGAGACAGGAGCAGCTCATAAAGCATCATTATAACATTGCCAAGAAGCTTTATCTTTTAGATTAGTGTCGTGCGTCCAAATTACAATGAGAACTGCACATGTAATTTTAAATTTTCTGGTAGCCAAATTAAGAGATAGGTGAAATTAATTTTAATATATCTGATTAACATAATGTATTCAAAATATTACCAGTTCAAAATGTATCCATTGTAAAAATTAATGAGATATTTGGCATTTTCTTTTTTTGTTGGAAATCTTCAAAACCCAGTGTGTATTTTATGCCTACAGCTTATCTCAGTTTGGACTAGTCACATTTCACATGTTCAGCAGCCTCATGTGGCTGGTGGCTAATGGAGTGGACAGCATAGCTGTAGACAGTGATTGCGTGTAACCTTCTTTTACATACAGGAAAATTATGGCTTAGAAAAGTAAAGTACCTTCAGCAGAACTGACTTCCATTTTCAATGATATGGCAGCTTAGGTTATTTTGCCCAACTCTTCTTCTAAAAATATTGGATAAAATATATTTTTAAATCTTAAAAGTATCGAAGAGCTGTCAAGATAGTAAGGACATACCAGGCAAAATCTAAGGGAAGATAGTGCAGATAGTCAGGGCACCACAGCGTTGCTGAGGATATATACGAAGCCAAGAAAATCTGATTGTCAGCATTCCAGTAGTGTCAACACAGACGTCAAAGCCCAGAGTCTGCCTTGGAGTCTAACAGGGATTCTTCCTCCATAAAACTGGAACTGTGAAAGGCTGTAACCTCAATGTAAAGATGAACCAAAAGGAAGGTTGATCACCCCACAGGTCTAGTGGCCAACTCGGAAGTTTGTATTGGTCTGAGTTGAGCTGAGGATAATAAAAGTCTCTGAAAAGTGGTGACCACAGAGCGGCCTGCTTGCAAATTTGCAGCGTGTATTCAGATCCCCCGGATGCTCTGGAAATCTCCAACCATGATGTTAGCTTCAGATAGTCTTGGACTGAGCATGTGGCACATGTCAGAAACAATAAACTGTAAAAATTAACCTAGGAGGTTTTAAAATGAATCAAAAGAACCTGTAGAAATAAGAAACTACTGGATTGAAAAGCTCACCGTATGGGTTTCATGTCAGCTTAAACACAGCTGGAAAGACTGTTAGTGAACTGGAAGACACATCAGAAGGAAATATCCAGAATGCAGCAGAGATACAGACATGAAAAAATACTTTTTAACAAACATGGGAAAGAGATTAAGTATGTCCTTCCAGAAGATGGGGATGGAGGGAAGAAAGAGACAGTATTTGAAGAGACAATGGCTCAGAATTTTCTAGAACTGACAAATAATACTAATCCAAAGATTCAAGAAGCCCAGTGAAACCCACGGAAAATAAAAGAAAAATCCAGTCACACGTAGATGCATCATAGTGAAATTGTGGAACACCAAAATATACAAGACATTAAATGTCACCAGAAGAGAAAAGACACCTTCCAAAGAGTGACAGACCACCTTCCAAAGAGCGACACCCTAAAGTCTAACTTCTTCCCAGCTGCAGCAGAAGCCAGAAGATGATGCAATCGTATCTTTAATGTGTGCTGAAAGAAAAAGAAGTTCTAGTCTAGAACTCTACACTTAGCAAAAATAACTTCCAAGAATAATGGCAAAATAAACACATTTTCAGATAAACAATAATTGTGTTTTTCACCATCATATCCTCACTAAAGAAAATGCTAAAGATAAATTTTCAGGAAAAGGAAAAAGATCTCAGATGACCTGAGATACAAGAATGAAAGAAGAGAAAAAAAGGTGATACGTGGATAGATGTAAATGAACACTGTATAAACAATGATAAAGTCTTGTGGAGTTAAATTAGAAGGACAATATTAGAATATTAGGCCAGAATAACATAAAAGGCACTAGGAAGGATAAATTGAGATATTTAAAAAATATATGACTTCCAGCCAGGTGCAGTGGCTCACCCCTGTAATCCCAGCACTTTGGGAGCCTGAAGTGGGCAGATCACCTGAGGTCAGGAGTTTGAGACCAGACTGGCCAACATGGGGGAACCCCGTTTCTACTAAAAATACAAAAATTAGCTGCGTGTGGTGGCAGGCACCTGTAATCCCAGCTATTCAGGAGGCTGAGGCAGGAGAATCGCTTAAACCTGGGAGGCAGAGGTTGCAGTGAGCTGAGATTGTGCCACTGCACTCCAGCCTGGGCAACAGAGCAAGTCTCTGTCTCCAAAAAAAAAAAAAAAAAAAAAAAAAGTATAACTTCTAAACTAGTAGAGGGAAAAAATGTTTATTGCAAAAGAAGGCGAGAAGGAAGAGAGAAGAAAGGCACCATGGAAACATGAGACAAAAAAAAAAAAAAAGGAATGCACAAAATAGGACAATCCTTGTAAATCCAAGAACAGTTACACCTCCCTACACACTGCCCAGCTCTGGTCCTAACCAGGGGAGAGGAAGGTGAATTGAGAATTGAAAGCACCATTGAAAGAAACACAGTTAAATCACTTGTTCAAGACTGTAGTCAGGAAATCAAACCAGCCTTGGCTTGTTGAGGCAACAATGGCCTCCTTGCAGTTTAGTTTTGTCCATGCTATGTGTAACTCTCTTCTGCACCTACATCCTTATGGAATGGATTGGTGTAGAGACAGTCTCCCAACTCATGTAATCTGTATCTGACACAATCTTTGTTTCTGATATTTTAAATGTCAGTCCACAAAAGTCAAACAGCTGCAATTTAACCTTGTACTTTTAATCTAATTAATCAACATCTTCAGGACTATGACAGGTAGAAAGAATATGTATACATCTTTAGTCCTGTCTGGCTCTAGTTTCACCCACTTTCAGAGCTGCTGGAAGTGGACAGTGTCCCTCCTTGTATCTAAGATACTTGGTTCCCCTTGATATTCTAATTTTAGGGCCATGGTGGGGCAGGTGGGATTGGCCCCCTTGGTCTGAGCCAGCTTTCAGAATGACGTCTCTCCAACTGAATTTATATGGCAATGGTATTATTTTCCTGGTTTCATTCAGTTCCTAAGTACCACATTTTAACTCTTCCATACTTCTTATTCCTAATTTGCAGCACAGCACAGTGGGTTAGAGTGTGGGATGTGAAGTGACACAGGCCTGGTCTGAGTCTGGGTGTGATATCTGCTGGCTTTGTGATCCTGGGTATTTATGTTAACTCCTCTACATTTTGGTGTTCTCGTCTGTCAAGTGTATGCTAACTGCGTTGTTACATAGATAATGTTTGTAAACCATTTGTCACTAGGTGTGGCCCACAGTAAGCACTTAATGAATGTTATTATATTTGGAATCAAATGATTAACCTTCTCCATATTGTGTTCTTAAGGAGTTAAAAAACCAAAGCAGGGGTGCTGAGGAGATTTGAACCAAGATTAGCATGGGTCTAACCAGTCTGTCTTCATGGGAAATCCAGACTGGAAAAAACTTTTTTCCTCTGGACATCTGGATATATTTATTGGGAACAAAGAACAAAGTCTGACTATTGTTATAACCTTAGATTACAGTCTATTGGATAAATACATCTAATTACTACCCAAGAACCACAAAATTGACTTTTTAATGATTAGTTTATTTCTGCTTGTCTTTATTCTAGAGATGGGTATTTTAGATCATATATAAATTGTTCCTTTTTCCTTCAGACCTATATTGGCATATTGCTTGTCTTTCTTTCCCATTGGCATGATTAGAGAGTGAGATTTGGAATATTCAGAAGTTAAGGTGGAATGAGAATCTTTCTACTCCTTTGATCAATATCTTAAGGTCTAAGGATCTTTTTTTTTTTTTTTTTCCCTTGGTTTCTTCTGGGTAAAGCTTCCCATGAGCTCTCTGCTGATTGGCCACAGATAGCTAAAACCAGTTGGGAGGCAGAGGGAGAATCAGAACTATAAAATAGTATTTTATGTATTTTCTTTAACCTTTTTTAATGGGAGAAATATAAAAGGATCAAATCACTCTGCCTTTTAAAAAATTAATGGGCTATTTTTTAAGAGCACTTTTAAGTTTACAGAAAATTTGTGAAGGAAGTACAGATAGTTTCCATATACTCTCTTACATTCAGTCTCTCTCTCTCTCACTTGCTCACTCGCTTTTCCATTAGTCTGGTACATTTGTTACAATTGATGAACCAATGTTGATAATGATACATTATTTTGACTAATGCATAATGTCATGTGCCCATGAAGACAATGTCCTGCAGCAGAGCGTCACTGCCATAAAAATCCCGTGTTCCTTATTCATCCCTCCCTTCCCCTGACCCTGGCACTTCCCACATACATGGCTGCACTTCAGATACAGCTCATCTAAATGACATCAGCTTCCTAAGGTCACCCTGTTTCGTTTTAATTCCTGTATTTCATAGACTCTAGTCATTGACCGTAAGGTGCATATTTATTATGCATCTCTAAGAAAGGAAAAGAAATGCTCCAATTAAACTAAGGGATGCCATCAATAGTGAGACACACCCTGATTTCAGCATGTTAAAATGTGAACCAACGGAGCATTTCAGAACTGATAAGACAGAACAGAGCCTGGGCCTGCACAAAACTCAGTGCTATCTTGAAAATGAAAACAAATACTCAGAGAACCACATTTCAGGTTGGCATTCAGCCCTTTTTTGGGTGGAGGAGAGAGGGGTTAGGAGGGCGGTGGGTGAGGAAGGGGCAGGTGGAGACAGTGAGGTGGAAGAGGGGGCCAGAGACTGATGGAGGAGCCCACGGATGTGCAGCTGGCCTGGATCTGCCGTGTGCAAGTGTACAGCACAGACAGAAGTCCGTACCGTCTCAGTGGCCTGGGGCAAGTTGCTAAGACTTTCAGAGCCTCAGCTTCTTCATCTGTGCAGAGGAGGGATAGTCCTGACGGGCAACTAAGGTTGTAAGTAAGTGAATTCCGCATGTGACGAGCCTCACTCACTGTGTGGCTACAGTGTGTGTACAATACATGTGGGTTCTCTCTTCACCCCGATTCCTCAATGCCTTCCTCCTCTTCCCTGCTCCTCCATCCTGTTCGTGCCCCTTCCCTGGACCCCACCCATCACCTGAGCTGTGACCTCAGGGCACCCTGCTGGTCTTGGCACACTCATTAGACTTCACCACAAGAGCCAGATGGGGAGGAGGCAGGACAGTCCGCAGATGGGAAAGCCTCCTAATTCCTGGCCTTGGTCTTCCCAGGGCTGCCAGACAATCCGGGTTTAGCAACACTGTTGCATGCCCACTCACCAGCCTCATAGCTTGATTAGATAAAGCTCACCTGGTAGATGAAACCCTGGCAAAATGATTTATCAGGGATGTTTTAAAGATGGGGATATAAAATAGGCACAGATTTATTACTTCAAAATTACTAAGATTCTAAGAAACACGTGTTCTGCACGTGCACGAGGCCAGCAAAGCAAGAGGACTGAGCCCTCAGCATCAGGGTCAGCAGCAGCTGGTACAGGAATTCTGCCCCCAGAATGGGCATGACCTTGGGAAAGCCATCTCTCTTCCATTTGCCATTGGTGAAATGAGATAGCGATGCCGATCTCACCAGGTGGCTCTCGGGATTCTAGGGAATGATGTTTACGGAAGCCCCATTCGACGGCCGCTGGCTGCTCAACCCAGAGGTGCCCTGTTCAGTTCCTCCCCAAGCTGCCCTCCCAGAGGCACGGCCGTGCTTGTTACCATGGTGACTGCTGGGTTAACAAGGACTGGAATCGCCAGATTTAACAAATAAAAATTCAGCACACCCAGCTAAATTTAAATTTCATATACACATGATTTTTTAGTATGTGTCCCAGATATTGCATGCCTCATAATGTCGTTTAGTATTGCGTGGGACATACTTATGCTAAAAAATAAAGTGTAATTTATCTGAAATTCAAATGTAATGGGGTACCTTGTATTTTACCTGGTCATCTTAATAGGGACAGAATATTACGTTGTTGGAAACACTGGGAAGTTTCACTTGAAACAAGTGATGTAAGGAGAGGATCTCAGAATTATCTGGTGACCTAATTTATCACAAGTCTGATAGAAAAATGTGCAATTTATACATAATCCTTAATAATTAAAAGCTGCTCTACTGAAAAAGTTGGTTTTCTACTAGAAGAGAGACAAAATTAAATATCCTAAGGCGTCCTAGGCTGAGATATGGAAGCAATCAATGTCCCATGTAAAGACAATGTTTTTTAAAAAACAGTGCCGGGATAGAGTCCCTTCCACATTTCTGCCTGTAAAAATTATTTTGGTAATTGTGTATATTTTAGCATCTTAATTTATCCATTTCAAAATTAGAAAGTACATATATAGCATTTTATTATATATTTGTACATATTAAAACTGCATTTTAATGTATACGTATTTCTCTGCTCTGTGGGTAATGAATTTGGATAATGAAAATCAGCTGAATTACATTTCAATAAGGGAAAGGTGAGAGAAGACATTAATTAGATGAAAATTTAGAGCAGGTATTTATCTTATGTAGATTTTACAATTTGCTTTAAATATTCCTAAACAAGTTAGTAATTTTATAATGGTGCTTTTAAAATAAAAAAAGTTGGGCCGGGCACGGTGGCTCACGCCTGTAAGCCCAGCACTTTGGGAGGCTGAGTTGGGCAGATCACTTGAGATCAGGAGTTTGAGACCAGGCTGGCCAACATGGTGAAACCCTGTCTCTACTAAACATACAAAAAAAATTAGCTGGGTGTGGTGGTGGACACCTGTAATCCCAGCTACTTGGGAGGCTGAGGCAGGAGAATTTGAACGCGAGAGGTAGAGGTTGCGGTGAGCTGAGATTGTGCCACTGCACTCCATCCAGCCTGAGCGAGACAGTGAGACCCTCCCTGTCTCTAAATAAATAAATAAATAAATAAATAAATAAATAAATAAATAAATAAATGGGCTTCAGGACCATACCATCCTTAACTGATTTTTGCTGTGATTTGGATCCTGGTGAATTTTTCCTTAGCTACACAACTGCTGCTGTCACCCATACTGTTGGATTCCAATATTTCTTGAGACCCATGGTTGGGCAAACCCTGCCTTGCATGCTGTGGGCAGCAACAACAACGAAATGAACAAGACAAGACCCTGCTGTTGAGGAAAGCACACTCTATGGTAGAAGAATACTGAACAAGACAAAACGTGCCTGTGAATAGAAGGTGAGAAAGAAAGTATGGAAGGCGGAGCAAGAGGTTCCGGGAAAAAGGTGACCACCAACATCATTGCCACTCACAGTTCTTTTGCAAACCTTAGTCTTCTCTTCTTAGATGTTCACAGCAGTTCTGTGAGTGATTATCATATTATTCCATTTTTACAGATAAAACAAAGTCAGCAAGGTTAAGTAATATGCCGATGTTATTAGTAAATCGTGGAATGGGAATTCAAATTCAGGTCTGACTTCAGAGTCTGAGGCTGTGTCCCTCGTGGGGGATTCAGGCGAGTTGAAGAGAGAGACTACTCCTAAGGGAGGTGAGGGGCAAGTGGGTGGTCTTATTTGAACTGAAACTTGGAAAACAGAAAAGGCTGGACATCCTTTAGAAAGGAATGGTCTTTTGGGCCAAGAGAACAGCTTGAGCAAGAACCCAGAGCTTGGGGTAGGTACAGAGAATTCTAGGTAGTTCCAGGAACAGCGTTGCAGTTGCTCTGGGCTTTAGCTCAGGAAGTGCGGTGGGGAGAAGTGGGGGAAGGAGAGGGTGGCCTGGAGTTGGGGCTTGCTGGGGAGCCTGCAGTCATCTGGTTGATCGTGCGGAGCCAGCAGAGGCGTCTAACAGGAGGAAGTGGCGGCAAGGCATGAGACTGGCATGCGGAGCGGGTGACTTTGGAGGCAGAGAGACTGGGTAGAAGGTCATCAAGAGGTAAGGAGGGCAGTGCTGGAGATGGAAGGGAGGACAGGCGGTGGTGGACATGGAAGATGTGGGCGGACAGAACCAGTGACGGCAGCGAGCCGGTGGACTGCAGGGGCCGTCGGTGGTGTGCACAGGAACACGAGTTGCTCTAAGTTGAAATTCTTGGAAACATACCATGTGGCTGCAAATAGAGGAGCCCTGGGAGACAGCAGGGAGGTGGCAGGGTTTCTCGTGGACTGCCTGTGCCTCGTTCCAGAGTCTGATTCCCAGATTTGTAGGCTAAGAAATGTGATTCATCATCATGTTAGTCAGGCTCTGATTCACTCATCTTAAGCATGAGTGTTCCAGGTTAGCCATCAGGAGACTGAGGCATGGGGGTTGGAGCTGCCCATAGTCAGTCAGCCTCCCAAGAAGTGGGGGGCTGGAAGGTCCAACCTCAGTGGCTTGACTGCTCTGCAGCCCAGAGTAGGCAATGAGACTTTCCTTGTTAATGGGGTGAGGAGAAAATGGAAGATTTCGAGAATTTCTCACTACTCCATGCAGTAAGCAAAGGAGGGGCAGAAAAGGGACTACTTTTACTCTTCGGGAACTTTAGACCTTTTAATCGCTTCAAATATAGTGGCATTGAAATGCAAAGTATTTTCAAATTGCATTGTAATCTTCATCTCTTTCAGAAATTAAAAAAAAGAAAATCCAGGCATGACCGTGATCTATATTTTAGGGATGAACAGTTTTATGCCATTTTTGTCTTTGTCTCTCTTCCGGCTGCTGCTAGAGAAGAGGCAGCGGTGCCCAAGCCAGGACTGAGAGGTTTCGGGTGATGCCTCTGCCGTGATGATCATTGCTTCCTGGACTTATTTTCTGTGGAAGAGGCAACTTGTTTCTTGAACTTTTTAATTAAAATCTATGTAAGAGTAGAGAGAATAGCATAAGGATTCTCCAAAGTCAAAGAATCTAGATTTCACTTTAAATATTTCATCCTACTGGCAGGTATCGAGTTGATTGATGAAAATGTAAAAATTGAATTCCAGACATTGTATGTCATGAAATATCACCCCACATTGTCATGAGATGTGTTTTATAAAGATTCAAGACATCTTGGCCAGGTGTGGTGGCTCAGGCCTGTAGCCCCAGCTACTTGGGAGGCTCAGGCAGGAGAATCACCTGAACGCAGGGGGTCAAGGCTGCAGTGAGCTGAGATTGCACTACTGCACTCCAGCCTGGGTGACGGAGTGAGACCCTGTCTTTGGAAAAAAAAAAAAAAAAAAAAAAGACATCTTAAAAACATAATCAGAATGTCATTATCAAAAGAATATAAATTAATGGCATTCTTAATATAATGTAATACCACCTATATTCAGATTTCTCTAATTGTTTCCAAACTATCTCCCTCTTGTTTTTTTTTTTTTTTTTAAACATTTGGAGTATTTACATAGGGATTTAAATAGGGCCCATACATTGCATTTCGTTTTTATGTCTCTGAAGTTTCTCTTAATTTAGAACAGACCCCCCGCTCCACCCAACCTCTTTTTTCCTTAATTTGTGAAAAGCCCAGCACTGCCTCGTAGAACCTCCTGTGCTCTGGGTGTGTGGGTGCTCATCGTGAGGGCGTTTAACCTACTCCTCCCTCTTGACCTGCCTGTAAACTAGAAGTTATGTATGGGTGCTTGATACTTTGAGTTTGACAGTTTTCCCAGGAATACTACACACACCACAGGTACGGTGTTTAGAGAACAAAATCTAAGGGCTGATGGTATTTATGGCTACCAAGCTCTCATTGCTCCTAGGCTTGATGTAGTCAGATTTCTAGTCTTGCCAAGTGCCCAGATGGGTGGAAACCTGGCAGGTAAACTGTCCCTGATGACTGACTGGGCATGGGCTGTGAGGAGACGTGCCACTAGGTGTAGGAGAGGAACAGAGGTGGACCACAGAGCCTGGGAGGAAGCAGGGACAGAGAGGCCAGAGGATGACAGGTGGGAATGGGGGGTCCGGGGCAGGGCCAGGGGAGGCCAGGGCTACACAGAACATCACGAGAACCTACCACTAAGCCAAGGATGACTGATGTGTTCAAACCCAAATGCCAGACTCCTCCATCACCTGCCCCTCTATCTCCCTCCACACACCTTCCTCTCCCCCATGCTCCCCAACCCAGTTAACAGCAAGTCCTTCCCCAGCTATTCAGGACAAAAACCTTAGCTTCACTCCTGAATTCTCCTCTGTCTCTTACACCACGTTGAACCCAACAGCAAGTTCCACTGGCTCTGCCTGTAGCATATATCATCCTAAATATGATCATTTCTCACCATTTCCACTATGCCCACCGAGCCCACCACCCCTGTTGGGCTGACTGCAGTAGCCTGCTTCAACACCTGCCTTCCACCCGTAACCTGCTGCACTTCTTTCTCCACACAGCAGCCAAAGTCATGCTCTGAAATGTGTCCCCAGTTCCAGGCACTGGATGTACACCAGTGGGCAAAACCAATCCCTTTGTGGCACAGGTTCTAGTAGACTGTATTTCAGGTGGATCAAGTCATACATCACGCTAAACTTCCAGTGACTTCCTGTCTCACCAAGAGTAAGAGCCAGACCCCTTTCAGAGGCCCCTTGGCACCCTCTCCTTCCCTTCGTCCTTGCCCACTGAGCTCCACCCTCCTGGGCCTCCTTGCTGTCCTTGAATATGGAAGCCCTCCCTGCTTCCCCATGTCCCCAGAGAGCCACGAGGCTGGCTCCCCTCTCTCTCAGGTCTCTTCTCATATACGCGTCATCTGAGAGGCCTTCTGGGCCCCCCAGAAGGATCAGCCTCCCTCCCCTCCCCTCCCCTCCCCTCTTCTCCCATCTCCTCTCCTCTCCTCTCCTCCCCTCTCCTCTCCTCCCCTCTCCTCCCCTCCCCTCTCCTCCCCTCCCCTCTCCTCCCCTCACCTCCCCTCCCTTCCCTTCCCTTAGAGCTTCTCTCTGTCGCCCAGGCTGGAGTGTAGTGGCATGATCTCAGCTCACTGCAGCCTCCACCTCCTGGGTTCAAGCGATTCTGCTGCCCCAGCCTCCTGAGTAGCTGGGATTACAGGCATGCGCCACCATGCCCAGCTAATTTTTGTATTTTTATTAGAGACAGGTTTTCACTATGTTGGCCAGGCTGGTCTCAAACTCCTGGCCTTAAGTGCTCCGCCCACCTGGGACTCCCAAAGTGCTGGGATTACAGTTGTGAGCCTCTGCACCTGGACTCTCACACAGCACTTTCTATAGTTATGTGACTGTCTGTGTGTTTATTGCTTGGCCACTAGGATTGTTTTGCTCCCTGCCACATCCAAGCTCCTGTGCAGCCCTGGGTGTCAGCAGGCTCCACATCAGCACGTGGTGGATAAGAAAAGGGACTGGTCCAGGCCTGGGTCATCAGAAACACTTGGTGTTGTGGCTTCATGGTCTTGGACTGCTCTATGGGAAGGGAGTTTAAAATCTCAATGTCAGGGCACTGGAGTGGCAATGGTGGTGGGGGCAGGAGGAAACTCTAGGCCCTTCCTCATCCTCTTCTCCCATTGAGGTGCATTGAGGGTGGGAAGTGCCAGGCCTCTCCCTGCCTCTTGTTATCCTCACTCAAGCCAGTGGTATGCCTCGGCGTTTCCTCTTCTGAAAGCTCCACCTGTGAGCTTTTTTCCACCATGGGGTGGGAAGCTGTGTTCACTCCTGAGGTTGTCCACTCCGCGTCCATGTGCTGTAATCTCCAGATGTCAGGACTCTCTCCCAAAAGCAGTGCCCAGTGTCCCTCTCCTGGGTTTTAGAGGCTATGTCATGGGCAGGGAGCAGCAGTGCCCGCCTCTCAGGCCTTATTGTACCAGCCGCTGGCTGCCCACCCTCTTTGGAAGGCTCCAGGAGCCAGGCCATGCCAAGCTGGATGTAGTGCCTGTGGCAGCAGCCCTTTACCCATGAGCTCCAGAGAGCACTCCAGGCTGAGCTGGTTCCTTCACTCCCTGCCAGGGACACATGCAGCATGGAAATGGGCACCTCAAGGGGCTGGGGTGAGGGGATAGGGTGAGAGGCTGGGTTGCAGGGCTGGGGTGAGGGCATAGGGTGAGAGGCTGGGATGCAGTGCTGGGGTGAGGGGATAGGGTGACACTGGGATGCAGGGCTGGGGTGAGGGGATAGGGTGAGAGGCTGGGATGCAGGGCTGGGGTGAGGGCATAGGGTGAGAGGCTGGGATGCAGGGCTGGGGTGAGGGGATAGGATGAGAGGCTGGGATGCAGGGCTGGGGTGAGGGGATAGGGTGAGAGGCTGGGATGAGGTGCTGGGATGAGGGTATAGGGTGAGAGGCTGGGATGAGGTGCGGGGATGAGGGGATAGGGTGAGAGGCTGGGATGCAGGGCTGGGGTGAGGGGATAGGGTAAGAGGCTGGGACGAGGTGCTGGGGCGAGGGGCTGGGCTGTGCTGAGCACTGGTGTCATCAAGAATCTGCTTTGCCCTGCTG
Source organism: Homo sapiens (assembly GCF_000001405.40). Taxonomy (NCBI): domain Eukaryota; kingdom Metazoa; phylum Chordata; class Mammalia; order Primates; family Hominidae; genus Homo; species Homo sapiens. Next base: position 161,182,099 of record NC_000006.12, on the reverse strand, counting down.
CCTGTTCAGAGCAGACTGGTCGGGGTCAAAGATGGGTTGTGGTGCTACTCAAATGTTTTCATCATTTCCCCTCTAAGGAACCTTTTCAGACACTTTTTCCCTAATCATCTCCCATGATGCTTTATACTGCAGAGGGACTATCATTCATGTGCTGTGGACGTATCTGTGCTTTACACATAAAAGAGTAAGATTTTTGTCCACCCCACGCCCCCTCCAAGAACCAATTTTTGTCCCCTTGGGGGCAAAATCACCCCCTAATATAATCCTGATGGCTTTCAAGAGCTTGGCCTTCTTGGACCCTCGGCTTCTAGCCTGAGCGCCATCTGATGGTGCGGACGTGTGAGTGGGAAGAGCAGATGCTTGGGAGATTCTGGGATGGGGCAGGCACAGCTGGGCTCCCAGTTTGGTGTCACAGAAAGTGCTGAAATCTGGTTGCAGAGATTGCAGTGAGCCATGATCGTGCCACTGCACTCCAGCCTGGGCAACAGAGCGAGACTGTCTCACAAAAATTAAAAGTAAAAATAAAATACCAGCACATGCCCACAGGAGCCAAGCTCACTTAGTGTTGGGCAGTTAGGAAGCGCCCCCCGCCCCCTGCTACCCCCACCGTGTCTGCATGGCCTAATACCCAGGGGAGGTTTCCTGGAAGTATGGGTGTGAACTGAGCCTGGAGGGATGGGGAAGCTTAGAAGAGGGGACAGAGTGGGGACAAGGGAGGAAGTGTAAGTGTGGTACAGCTTGGAGCTAGCTGCTTAGTGCACAAAGGGACTGCTTGGCACCACAACAGAACCTGCAGGCGATGGGAGCAGCAGGCAGCCCGCCTCCCTCAGCAATCCCAGACTGTGTTGAGTACCAGGACACAAGAGACGCATTGGGCTGCTGAATACTGTTCCCCTTCACAGCGTTGCTGGGGCCCACTTAACACCTGCAGCAAGAACTCTTGGGCTAGAGCTGGGAGGCACCTTTCTGTTTATTCCGTGCTAGTAGTTTCACTTTGTGCTTTTATTAATTTTTATTAATAAAAACCAGACCCTCTCACAGAGCTGATGCCCAGTTCCTCAGGGTGATGACTGGAGAGGGTGCCATCATTTCCCTCCTCCATCTTTACAGATAGGACAGCAGAGGCCTTTCTTCCTTAACTCCACTTTGTTTTTGTCTATCTACTTCTTTTTCCTATTAGTAATCTCTTAAGCTGAACAGCACAATGGCAAATATAATAAAACCAAATCTGTTTTGGCTTTATTTATCAGGCACAGAGAGGGTCTGGTGGGCACCCTGTAACTTGACGACTGACCTCCAGGTGAGGGTGTTGTGAGTGTGAAGGCACCGTCCTGTCTCCCAAGCCTCCTTATGATGCCAGGAGAGAGACCCGGCCCTCCAGCACCGCTACAGGGAAGAATGACACCACATTCAGGCACCAGAAACTTAGTAGCTTCGCTTTTGCATTTTGGATGCTTCTGAGGATGAGGGCTTTAATTTTTAACCTAAATTATTATCAGTTAAAAGCTAAATGATAAAAGGTTATTATAAATGTATAATTATACATATTTGTTATATTTCATAGCAATCACCTATGTAATTATATAATTGTTAAAGTTGGTTAGAGCTAATGATCATAAGGCCATTTCCCCACGTAACATGGTGCCCATATCTGCAGCTGTGGGAGGTTCTGACTGTTGGCGTGTGCTTGAACAGTGAACTGTGTACTCCTCAAGGCTCCCATCAGCAGTGTTTGGATTGTGAGGTCTTTCCTACAGGGTCCTTGCCTCCCCTGTTTTAGTAGAAATTCTCCATGGCACTTCTGGGATGGGCTGCAGAGAGGAGCTGGGCCCACCCACTGGAGCGAGGAAGGAGCAGGAGCCTTGGGGAATGGTGGGGAAGGGGAGCCTAAGACCCCTCTCTACCTGCGTCAGGGAAGAGCTTGCCTGGAGGCTTGAAATATTGTTGGGGTCTCCAGGGAGGATAGGCATCCCTGGGATCCTGACCAGAATGCAGCCAGGTCTTGTGACTGACTACTTAGAGAGGAGTAGGAGCTGAGAATAAGGAGGTCTTTGGGGATAGCAGATTCAGGGCTGCCTAGAAGTGGATTCAGGGCATGCTTCTTAATTTCTTTCCTGTCTTTCTCTGATTTTAAATTGTTTATTTTGTTTTGGAGTCAAATAGCCACATGTAACTTTTGACTCCCTAAAACTTAACTACTAATAGCCTACAGTTGACTGGAAGCCTTACCAATAACAAACAGTTGATTAACATGTATTTTGTATATGTGTTATATCTGGTATTCTTCTAAAGTAAGCTAGAGAAAAGAAAACATGATTAAGCAAATCATCAAAAAGAGAAAATGTATGTACTATTCATAAGTGGAAGTGGATCATCATAGAGGTCTTCATCCTTGTTGTCTTCATGTTGGGTAGGCTGAGGAGGCCAGGAAGAGGGGTTGGTCTTGCTGTCTCAGGGGTGGCAGAGGCGGAAGAAAATCTGTATATAAGTGGACCAATGAAGTCTGAGCCCATGTTGTTCAAAGGTCAAATGTAGTAGAAATCAGGAGAAGAAAAATGTACTGGCTGGTGCAGGGTGCATATTCAGTGCTTTAAATATTTTAGCATCTGCTCTTCACACCAAACCTTTGAGTTGGGCATTTTATCTTTATGTCGTAGGTAAGGAACTGACCACAGCGCTGCCTGAGGTCAAGGTGTGATTGTATATTCTGATCTTCCTTTTATTTCCCTTCTCTAGCCCCCCGCACTGCAATCATGTTTTATATAATCATGGCTTTTAGTGTCTTCAGCAACCTTAGAGAGTGGTGCTGGGCCCTTGTGTCTGGATTCAGCTCCCAGCCACACACGTCCTAACTCTGGGGGCATGGGCCACAACCCACGCATGTTGGAAACGAACTCAGTAAACTTTAGTTGCCATCTTTTTCCTATTAGTAACCTCTTTATGGCCCCCTGAGTTTTGTTCTTCAGTCAGCCCCTGAATAGCAGGCAATGGTTAAATAGCAGGCAATGGTTAAATGACAGGCAATGGTTGAATAGCAGGCAATGGTTAAATAGCAAGCAATGGTTTGGGGCTTTGCAGAGGTCACCTACTGCGTTCTGCACCCTCTCCGGTCATCACCCTGAGGAACTGGGCACCAGCTCTGTGAGATTTCCAGGTGGGGTTTGTAGAACAGGCAGCAGCAACTGGTCAAAGCCAGATGTGGCTGCAAGAGCAGAATCCGAATGTGACTGCTTTGTAGAGAGATGGCATTCACTGAGCCCTCAGAGAGCAGCACAGTCAAAACAACATCTGCAAAATTGGGCAAACTGAAATTTTAAAAATATGACAAAAGTGATCAACCATGGCAAGATGGCCGAATAGGAACAGCTCCAGTCTACAGCTCCCAGTGTGAGTGATGCGGAAGATGGGTGATTTCTGCACTTCCAACTGAGGTACCAGGTTCATCTCACTGGGGCTTGTCGGACAGTGGGTGCAGCCCACGCGAGTGTGAGCTGAAGCAGGGTGGGGCATCGCCTCACCCGGGAAGTGCAGGGGTCCGGGAATTCCCTTTCCTAGCCAAGGGAAGCGGTGACAGACGGCACCTGGAAAATTGGTTCACTCCCACCCTAATACTGCGCTTTTCCAACGGTCTTAGCAAATGGCACACCAGGAGATTATATCCCGTGTCTGGCTCAGAGGGTCCGACGCCCACGGAGCCTTGCTCATTGCTAGCACAGAAGTCTGATCGAACTGCAAGGCGGCAGCGAGGTTCGGGGAGGGGCATCCGCCATTGCTGAGGCTTGAGTAGGTAAACAAAGTGGCTGGGAAGCTTGAATTGGGTGGAGCCCACCGCAGCTCAAGGAGGCCTGCATGCCTCTGTAGACTCCACCTCTGGGGGCAGGGCAGCAGAAACTTCTGCAGACTTAAAGGTCCCTGTCTGACAGCTTTGAAGAGAGTAGTGGTTCTCCCAGCACAGAATTTGAGATCTGAGAATGGACAGACTGCCTCCTCAAGTGGGTCCCTGACCCCCGAGTAGCCTAACTGGGAGACACCTCCCAGTAGGGGCCATTTGACACCACATACAGTCAGGTGCCCCTCTGAGACGAAGCTTTCAGAGGAAGGATCAGGCAGCAACATTTGCTGTTCTGTAATATTTGCTGTTCTGCAGCCTCCACTGGTGATACCCAGATAAACAGGACTGGAGTGGACTTCCAGCAAACTCCAACAGACCTGCAGCTGAGGGTTCCGACTGTTAGAAGGAAAACTAACAAACGGAAAGGACATCCACACTAAAACTCCATCTGTACGTCACCATCATCAAAGACCAAAGGTAGATAAAACCACAAAGATGGGGAGAAACCAGAGCAGAAAAGCTGAAAATTCTAAAAATCAGAGTGCCTCTTCTACTCCAAAGGAATGCAGCTCCTCGCAGCAATGGAAGAAAGCTGGACGGAGAATGACTTTGACATGTTGAGAAAAGAAGGCTTCAGACGATCAGTAATAACAAACTTCTCCGAGCTAAAGGAGGATGTTTGAACCAATCGCAAAGAAGCTAAAAACCTTGAAAAAAAAGATTAGATGAATGGCTAACTAGAATAAACAGCGTAGAGAAGACCTTAAATGACCTGATGGAGCTGAAAACCATGGCTTGAGAACTACGTGACACATGCACAAGTTTCAGTGGCCGATTCGATCAAGTGGAAGAAACGATATCAGTGATTGAAGATCAAATTAATGAAATGAAGCGAGAAGAGAAGTTTAGAGAAAGAAGAGTAAAAAGAAACAAACAAAGCCTCCAAGAAATATGGGACTATGTGAAAAGACCAAATCTACGTCTGATTGATGTACCTGAAAGTGACGGGGAGAATGGAACCACGTTGGAAAACACTCTACAGGATATTATCCAGGATAACTTCCCCAACCTATCAAGGCAGGCCAACATTCAAATTCAGGAAATACAGAGAACGCCACAAAGATACTCCTCGAGAAGAGCAACTCTAAGACACATAATTGTCAGATTCACCAAAGTTGAAATGAAGGAAAAAATGTTAAGGGCAGTCAGAGAGAAAGATCAATTTACCCACAAAAGGAAGCCCATCAGACTAACAGCAGATCTCTCGGCAGAAGCTCTACACGCCAGAAGAGAGTGGGGGCCAATATTGAACATTCTTAAAGAAAAGAATTTTCAACCCAGAATTTCATATCCAGCCAAACTAAGCTTCATAAGTAAAGGAGAAATAAAATCCTTTACAGACAAGCAAATGCTGAGAGATTTTGTCACCACCAGGCCTGCCTTACAAAGAGCTCCTGAAGGAAGCACTAAACATGGAATGGAACAACCGGTACCAGCCACTACAAAAACATGCCAAATTGTAAAGACCATCGATCCTAGGAAGAAACTGCATCAATTAACGAGCAAAATAACCAGCTAACATCATAATGACAGGATCAAATTCACACATAACAATATTAACCTTAAATGTAAATGGGCTAAATGCTCCAATTAAAAGACACAGACTGGCAAATTGGATAAAGAGTCAAGACCCATCAGTGTGCTGTATTCAGGAGACCCATCTCATGTACAGAGACACACATAGGCTCAAAATAAAGGGATGGAGGAAGATCTACCAAGCAAGTGGAAAACAAATAAAAAAAGCAGGGGTTGCAAATCCTAGTCTCTGATAAAACAGACTTTAAACCAACAAAGATCAAAAGAGACAAAGAAGGCCATTACATAATGGTGAAGGGATCAATTCAACAAGAAGAGCTATCTACCCTAAACATATATGCACCCAATACAGGAGCACCCAGATTCATAAAGCAAGTCCTTAGAGACCTACAAAGAGACTTAGACTCCCACACAATAATAATGGGAGACTTTAACACCCCACTGTCAACATTAGACAGATCAATGAGACAGAAAGTTAACAAGGATATCCAGGAATTGAACTCAGCTCTGCACCAAGTGGACCTAATAGACATCTGTAGAACTCTCCACCCAAATCAACAGAATATACATTCTTCTCAGCACCACATTGCACTTATTCCAAAACTGACCACATAGTTGGAAGTAAAGCACTCCTCAGCAAATGTAAAAGAACAGAAGTTATAACAAACTGTCTCTCAGACCACAGTGCAATCAAACTAGAACTCAGGATTAAGAAACTCACTCAAAACCACTCAACTACATGGAAACTGAACAACTGGCTCCTGAATGACTACTGGGTACATAACAAAATGAAGGTGGGAATAAAGATGTTCTTTGAAACCAATGAGAACAAAGACATAACATACCAGAATCTCTGGGACACATTTAAAGCAGTGCATAGAGGGAAATTTATAGCACTAAATGCCCACAAGAGAAAGCAGGAAAGATCTAAAATTGACACCCTAACATCACAATTAAAAGAACTAGAGAAGCAAGAGCAAACACATTCAAAAACTAGCAGAAGACAAGAAATAACTAAGATCACAGCATAACTGAAGGAGATAGAGACACAAAAAACCCTTAAAAAAATCAATGAATCCAGGAGCTGGTTTTTTGAAAAGATCAACAAAATTGATAGACCACTAAGAAGACTAAGAGAGAAGAATCAAATAGACGCAATAAAAAATGATAAAGGGGATATCACCACTGATCCCACGGAAATACAAACTACTATCAGAGCATACTATAAACACCTCTATGCAAATAAACTAGAAAATCTAGAAGAAATGGATGAATTCCTGGACACATACACCTTCCCAAGACTACACCAGGAAGAAGTTGAATCCCTGAATAGACCAATAACAAGTTCTGAAATTGAGGCAATAATTAATAGCCTACCAACCAAAAAAAGTCCAGGACCAGATGGATTCACAGCCGAATTCTACCAGAGGTACAAAGAGGAGCTGGTACCATTCCTTCTGAAACTATTCCAATCAATAGAAAAAAAGAGAATCCTCCCTAACTCATTTTATGAGGCCAGCATCATCCTGATACCAAAGCCTGGCAGAGACACAACAAAAAAAGAGAATTTTAGACCAATATCCCTGATGAACATCGATGCAAAAATTCTCCATAAAATACTGGCAAACCGAATCCAGCAGCACATCAAAAAGCTTATCCACCACGATCAAGTTGGCTTCATCCCTGGGATACAAGGCTGGTTCAACATATGCAAATCAATAAACATAAATCCATCATATAAACAGAACCAAAGACAAAAACCACACGATCATCTCAAGAGATGCAGAAAAGGCCTTTGACAAAATTCAACAGCGCTTCATGCTAAAAACTCTCAATAAACTAGGTATTGATGGGACGTATCTCAAAATCATAAGAGCTATTTATGGCAGACCCACAGTCAATATCATACTGAATGGGCAAAAACTGGAAGCATTCCCTTTGAAAACTGGCACAAGACAGGGATGCCCTCTCTCACCACTCCTATTCAACATAGTGTTGGAAGTTCTGGCCAGGGCAATCAGGCAGGAGAAAGAAATAAAGGGTATTCAGTTAGGAAAAGAGGAAGTCAAATTGTCCCTGTTTGCAGATGACATGATTGTATATTTAGAAAACCCCATCATCTCAGCCCAAAATCTCCTTAAGCTGATAAACAACGTCAGCAAAGTCTCAGGATACAAAATCAATGTGTAGAAATCACAAGCATTCCTATACACCAATAACAGACAAACAGAGAGCCAAATCATGAGTGAACTCCCATTCACAATTGCTTCAAAGAGAAAAAAATACCTAGGAATCCAACTTACAAGGGATGTGAAGGCCCTCTTCAAGGAGAACTACAAACCACTGCTCAACGAAATAAAAGAGGACACAAACAAATGGAAGAACATTCCATGCTCATGGATAGGAAGAATAAATATCGTGAAAATGGCCATACTGCCCAAGGTAATTTATAGATTCAATGCCATCCCTATCAAGCTACCAATGACTTTCTTCACAGAATTGGAAAAAACTGCTTTAAAGTTCATATGGAACCAAAAAAGAGCCCGCATAGTCAAGACAATCCTAGGCTGAAAGAACAAAGCTGGAGGCATCACACTACCTGACTTCAAACTGTACTACAAGGCTACAGTAACTAAAACAGCATGGTGCTGGTACCAAAACAGAGATATAGACCAATGGAACAGAACAGAGCCCTCAGAAATAATACCACACATCTACAACCATCTGATCTTTGACAAACCTGACAAAAACAAGCAGTGGGGAAAGGATTCGCTATTTAATAAATGGTGCTGGGAAAACTGGCTAGCCATATGTAGAAAGCTGAAACTGGATCCCTTCCTTACACCTTATACAAAAATTAATTCAAGGTGGATTAAAGACTTAAATGTTAGACCTAAAACCATAAAAACCCTAGAAGAAAACCTAGGCAATACCATTCAGGACATAGACATGGGCAAGGACTTCATGACTAAAACACCAAAAGCAATGGCAACAAAAGCCAAAATTGACAAATGGGATCTGATTAAACTGAAGAGCTTCTGCACAGCAAAAGAAACTGCACAGCAGAGTGAACAGGCAACCTACAGAATGGGAGAAAAATCTTACAATCTACCCATCTGACAAAGGGCTAATATCCAGAATCTACAATGAACTTAAACAGATCTACAAGAAAAAATCAAACAACCCCATCAAAAAGTGGGCGAAGGATATGAACAGACACTTCTCAAAAGAAGACATTTATACAGCCAACAGACACATGAAAAAATGCTCATCATCACTGGCCATCAGAGAAATGCAAATCAAAACCACAATGATATGCCATCTCATGTCAGTTAGAATGGCGATCATTAAAAAGCCAGGAAACAACAGGTGCTGGAGAGGATGTGGAGAAATAGGAACACTTTTACACTGTTGATGGGACTGTAAACTGGTTCAACCATTGTGGAAGACAGTGTGGCGATTCCTCAAGGATCTAGAACTAGAAATAACATTTGACCCAGCCATCCCGTTACTGGGTATATACCCAAAGGATTATAAATCATGCTGCTATAAAGACACATGTACACATATGTTTATTGTGGCACTATTCACAATAGCAAAGACTTGGAACCAACCCAAATGTCCATCAATGATAGACTGGATTAAGAAAATTTGGCACATATACACCATGGAATAGTATGCAGCCATAAAAAAGGATGAGTTCATGTTCTTTGTAGGGATATGGATGAAGCTGGAAACCATCATTCTGAGCAAACTATTGCAAGGACAGAAAACCAAACACTGCATGTTCTCACTCATAGGTGGGAATTGAACAATGAGAACACTTGGACACAGGAAGGGGAACATCACACACTGGGGCCTGTTGTGGGGTGGGGGGAAGGGGGATGGATAGCATTAGGAGATATACCTAATGTAAATGACTAGTTGATGGGTGCAGCACACCAACATGGCACATGTATACATATGTAACAAACCTGCATGTTGTGCACATGTACCCTTGAACTTAAAGTATAATAATAATAATAAATAAAAAATAAAAATATGACAAAAGTTTCAAAAATTGCCATATGATATTGAAGAAGCCCTGACCACATCTCTGTGGGTGGCAGGCTTCCCTTTCTGTCCTGTGGCCTTTCTGTCCAGCTGGCCTTTCCCAGGTGGCCGTCCTGGCTAGGGACAGGCTTCTTTGGTGCCCCTGGCTCTCTGGGATTCCCTGTAGTGTGTGCACCTTGGGATGCCCTCTCCACACTGTGATGAGTCCCACAGTCTGTGTGTACCCCAGGCCTGGATGGGGTGCCCCCTGTGCTCGGCAGGTGTGGTGGGCACTGCCCTGAGTGGACATGTCTGTGGCTGGGGTATTCACTCACCCTAAAGGGCAAGACCCAGAATCTGCAGATCCTGGGATCTCCGCTGACCATGTCCTTCCTCCTTGCACTTCTCGCACTGAGGGTTCCTCTTAGTGCAGGTCATTTACAGCTTCTGGGCTTTTCTCTAGGAGGTCATAAGTCCTTCCCTCTTTCCTCTTCTCCTGTTTTTATTCTGATTTGATGCATTGTTTTCATTCCCAGATATACTATTTTTCAATTAACTACCAAATGGCTCCAATTCTTATGAAGTTAAAGCCTTGGTTGCTTTTTCTGGTTGTTTAATATGTGTTAGTTTGGATGCCTAGACAAGAAGGTAAATATTTCAGGGATGCTATGTTCTGAATGTGTCCCCCAGAGTTCATGTGTTGGAAACTTTTGGTTTTTTGTTTTTTGTTTTTTGTTTTTGAGATGGAGTCTTGCTCTGTCACCCAGGCTGGAGTGCAGTGGTGCGATCTTGGCTCACTGCAAGTGCAGCCTCCTGGGTTCATGCCATTCTCCTGCCTCAGACTCCCGAGTAGCTGGGACTACAGGTGCCTGCCACCACGCCCAGCTAATTTTTTTTTTTTTTTTTGTATTTTTAGTAGAGACAGGGTTTCACTGTGTTAGCCAGGATGGTCTCGATCTCCTGACCTTGTGATCTGCCTGCCTTGGCCTTCCAAAGTGCTGGAATTACAGGCATGAGCCACCATGTGCGGCTGGAAATTTAATTCCCAATGCAACAGTGTTGAGATGTGGGGCCTTTAAGAGGTGATTAGGTCATGAGGGCTTTGCCCTTGTTAATGCCATTATTTCAGGAGTGGGTCAGTGGGTTCCTGCTAAGTGGATGAGTTCAGCCGCTTTCCCTTATTTCTCTCACTTGAGTACATGCTTGCTTGCCCTTCTGCCTTCTGCCTTCCCCTATGGGATGACACAGCAAGAAGGACCTTGCCAGATGCAGCCCTCTTGACTTTGGACTTCCCAGCCTCCAGAACTATAAGAAATAAATCTCTGTTCTTTGTAAATTGCCCAGTCTCAACTATTCTGTTACAGCAGCATAAAATGGACTAAGACAAACAGCAAATACCTTATCTTTGCTTCTCTTAGATTTACCCTCGTAGGGCTCCTGGCATTGTAACGCTAGTTACAGGATTGCAACCTGAAACTCTCAACAGGTGATTTTCCCTTAACTAAACAACAGAAAGCCCTGCTTTCTCACAAGCATCTCTGTTGTGCAGCACCTGCTGATAGCTTCTGGTCGGGATGGATTGCTCAGGTGCCCACTGGTAACTTTCTGAGTTAAATTGGAGGTTCTAAATAATATGTCCTTTGAAAGGAGGTGACACTGCCCTTTCCATGGAGTGAGCGTACAGGGACAGAATCTTGTGGGAAGAGAACGAGATGGAGCAATTCCAAGATCTGCAGCCACTGTGAACTGATGGTGAGAGTGGAAGGACAGGCTGAACGTACTTGAAATGCTGCATGCCCTGAGCCCTGAGCAGTTAGAAAGCCCTGGCATTTGATGCATGATGGTAAAAAGAGGCATCTAATTTGAATGACAGACATCCCACCTCAAATGGAAGCAGCTCCTGTAGGGCTCTTCAGCACAAGAAGGGGCTGCCAGGTGGAGCTGGCTGTGCAGCTGTAGAGAGAAGGCTCTGGCTGATAGCATTGAAAGCAACCACACAGGAGAGGAAATGAAACCTAAATTCATGGAGATATTTGTAAGTCATGTGCAGTATATTTACATAAGAACATCCAACTAAAACATCAGCTGGTAAGCCATTCAACTAAAGGCAAAGCTTTTTGAGTATATGTGTATGTGTGTGTGTGTGTGTGTGTGTGTGTGTGTGTGCGCGCGCGCACGTGTGCACGCGCATGTGTATAAATGCCTAGGGGAAAAAACTATAAGACTATTTTCCAAACTGTTCATAATGGTTAACCTTGGAGAAGGGAGGGAGGTTGGGGCGGTAAAGAGGAAGTGTCTCTCGGTCAGGGTTCAATAAGAAGCTAAACCACTGGGAGATATGTAGACATCATCTCATTGGCCTTATTCAGCTGTGGGGGCTTGTTTAGCAGTCTCTGTAGGGAAGTTGTATCTGCATGTGATGCTGGAGCTTGCAGTCCACAGGGCAGGCGGTCAGGAAGGGGCGATGGATATAAACTGGGAGAGATCAAGATGTTGGAACCACCAAGCACAAGCGGGAGCCTCATGAGAATGGGCTAAAACTTGCATCAGTTCTTTTGCATCTGGCATTGATGGTGTGGATGTCCTGCAGAAGCTGGGATCTTGGTCACAGAGCAAAATACAACCACCTGGCCTGGGATTCAGAGAAGCTGGCGGGGATCCAGGGGAAGGAGGAGCAGTAGCAGGCCTAGCCGCTGCTTTGTGCTGAAGACGTGAATCAGCAGATCAGCAAAAACATGTGTGACCTACAAAATGGTGGTATTTCCTTTCCACCTTGCAAACCTCCCAAGAGTGTCTCTTGTGGTGCCCTCTAACCAGAAATATACAAGAAAGGGAAGTTTGGGAAATGTAGTCCAGGCCAGCGTAACACATCCTGAAGCTAGTTAGAGGAATTTTATATTTTCTTGTACATACTTCTGGGTTGTTTGAATCATTTTACAATGTGACTGTATAAATGTGTTTCTGTGAATTAAAAAAGAAGTGAAATCATTTGATTAAGAAAATGGGCTAGTCGTGGTGGCTCATGCCTATAATCCCAGCACTTTGGGAGGCCAAGGTGGAAGGATTGCTTGAACCCAGGAGGTTGAGGCTGCGGTGAGCTATGTATGATTGGGCCACTGCACTCCAGCCTGGATGACAGAGTGACACACCATCTCAAAAAAAAGAAAGGAAAAAACAAAAAAGGGAAATCAAGCTCTTTTATCCAGTGAGGTTCAGAGTTTAGTTGTCTAGTGAGCAGCCTGCTGAGGTGAGTGGGAAATTTGGTCTTCCCCCACCTGGTCCCAGCACCATCCCCTCTCGCTGTGCTGATGTAGTCACCCGCTAACTGGCCTCCCTATTCCAGTCTGTTCTTGTTTCAATCAGAGTGATTTTTTTTTCAGATGCAAATTGGATGTTGGTGTGTGTCTATTTAAAAATGCTCCAGTGGTTTTTATATTGCCTTTAGAATGAAATCATAAATCATAACTCCTTACTCTGGTAACCCAGAAGTCTCTGTGATGTTCTCTCTCTGGGTTTCTCTCCATCTGCCTCTGTCTCCTCCCCACCCTTCCTCTCCCCTTCAGTGGTCACAGAGCCTTTGTGTGTGATAAAATTATCAGGCATATAATAGTAATTAAAAAGCTGTCCATTTATTGATTGCCTGCTATGCCCCATGTCATGCTAGGTGCCTTGAGTCCATGCTCTTATTTAATATCCACAGCATCTCTAACGGCATTTACCTGTCCCTACTTTACAGAGAAGGGGGACATTGAGAAACATGCCAGAAGTCTCACAACTAGTAAGTGGCTCCACCGGGATCGGAGCCTGGATGTGTCTGACTCCCAAATCCATGAAGACAATATTCAGCAGCCATCCTATTAGCAGGCCTTTCTCCTTTCCCTGTCATGTTGTTTTGTGGTTGTGTAGCTGTCTTTTCCCTGGACAGTAAGCTGGAGGGGTGCCAGGATCTGATCTAATGTTTAATCATCTCCTGTATCTCGCAGAGTGCTTGAACGCATTAGGTAATCACGCGGCATTTGTTGAAAGCATCCATGTGCCAGGCTCTTGCTGAGTCTTGGAGTCGAGGCTAAGGTCGGGGTGAACCAAACAGTACAGTTGCTGTCTCGTGGCGCCCGTGCTCTATAGTAGGGGAGAGAACCTCACGCTGTGGTCACAGCTGTGATAGGGCTGTGGAGGGTACTGGGGAACATGTGAGTGGGGTAGGGGGCGGTGAGAGTGGCCTTAGGCAGGAAGGAGTCCCACAGAGAGGCATTTGGCCTGTGACACAAACGAAATGTGAGTCTCTTGGAAGCATCAGCTTTGTCTCCCTGACTCCCTGTGGAGTTGTGCTTTGGTGCTTATCTGTGGCCTTTGGCCAGTAATGGAGTAGATTGATCCTTCCCATCCTCGGGCTTGGAAAAACTCAGCCCAGCACTACAGGCATCTTCGTGCCCCATGGTAACAAATTGTCCCTCTGTCCCTTTGTCAGGCTGCCCTGCCAGGCTGCATGTTGTTACCCTAGCCCCCCACCCCACCACCGCCTTCCTGCCCCCACAACCAACTCCCAGGATGCGTCACTATTCCTTGACTTGTGCTTCTGGTTCCAGCAATGCTATGGCCTGGTGGGACAACTGAATGGGAGCTTGATATTTTCTCAGTTCCTAGAAATAGGTAGACACTTTTTATTGTTCATTTCTGGAGAAGGAAGGGGAGTGGTTTTCGTCGTTTTTAAGGAGACTGATAGCTTCAGTTTGCTGGGAACTTACAATGTGCTCTACGCTGAGCACATACTATGTGTTAGGTGCTTTATGTTCACAGAACCCTTTGGGGCAACCCCATTCCAAAGATGAAGGCACTGTCGTGTTAGGAGGTTAATTTGTCCAAAGTCCCGCAGTGCTCACTGCGTAAAAACTGGACTGTGATGCCTTCTAGAGGGCTCTGGTGCTCCACATCAAGCCTCCAGCTTCCAGCCTGGAGGAGAAAAGTTTCCAAGGACAGCCGCTTGAGCTACAACACTAGGCTTACTGGAGTCAAGGCCAAATCCACCTGCCTGTAGGGTAGGGATGGGGTGGGGAGGGAGTGAGTCCTCTGCTGCATGCATGCTTCACTAACGAGTGATTAAAAATGGGGGGCACATGGCCCAGTGCAGTGGCTCACGCCTGTAATCCCAGCACTTTAGGAGGCTGAGGTAGGAGGATTGCTTGAACCCAGGAGTCTACCCAGTAGGCAGCATGGCAAAACTGCGTCTTTACAAAAAATACAAAAAAATTAGCTGGGCATGGTGGTGCACACCTGTAGTCCCAGCTACTCAGGAGGCTGAGGTAGGAGGATCACTTGAGCCTGGGAGGTTGAGGCTGCAGTGAGCCGTGATCACACCACTACACTTAGCCTGGGTGACAGAGCAAGACTCCATCTCAAAAGAAAGGGGGAGGAGGCACAACCCTCGCAGAGCACTCAGGCGCCCACCCCTACTGAACACCGTCAACTTCAAGAGTCCATTTCAAAGTCCATCACCCACATTCAACTGTTTTTCTGGACAGTTTCTACCCTAGAGGCTTTTCCTGAGCCTGCCAGATTGGGAATAGGTTCCCTGGATGGGAGGCATCACTGAAGAATAAACTGCAAGTGGTCATGATTGCCTGAAGAAAGAATCTTTTTCTTTTCACAAGCCCCTACAAAGACTATTTCAATAGTTCTCTTCAGACCTGCTGTGGGCTGACTCTCACTCCCGCTGCCCTGCAGGTGCTGGGGCTCCTGCGGCTGGATCTGCCGTTCTCCATTCTTCCCCTGCCCTCAAGTGTCAGAAATGGGAGAGGAAAGTTGGGTATTTAATATTCTTTGATGGAGTTTATAAGTATCCCAATTAGTCATTTTCCAGGATATTAAGAATTCTATACCTCATCTCACGCTGCCTTTCAGAGCTCTGTAAACACAAGGGCATGAATTCTTGACGGATTCTGGCTTTCTGATTTATTTTCCCCCAAGATACTTAATCAAGGAGTAAGTCATTTACCTTCTCCAAGTATCCTTCTCTTCTTCCCTGGAGAATGTTGTGAAGTCTTTCTCGTGTTTCCTTCCGCTTCTGAACCCTTTCAAGGACCAAGGTCTGTGCTGCAACGATCCAGAACTTTGCCCGTAGAAGTTGCTTTCTCCCCTAGCTGGGAGGGCAGAGCCCTGCTCTCAGCAGGGCTCCCAGGACAAGGCTGCATGTAGTAAACATCTGTCTGTTGTGGTTTGTTCCAGAGCTGGTGATGCTGCTGGAGTGGTGGTCGGGCACGGAATGCACCATCTTCACGGACCCGCGCGCCTACCTCAAGTATGGGAAGGAAAATGCCATCGTGGTTCTCAACCACAAGTTTGAAATTGACTTTCTGTGTGGCTGGAGCCTGTCCGAACGCTTTGGGCTGTTAGGGGTAAGTCAGAAGTGCATTCCCCCCTGCCTCACACATTTCTCTGGTTCAGCCCCACCACTTGTCTTTTTGCTCCTGGTCATTCAGAACTTGCAGAAGAATCAACAGAGTTTCTACTTGATGAAATGGTCCTAATAAACTGCTTTTTATTCTTGCTGGGAGTCAGTCTTAACAGCTTCTTATGGGCAATCATAAGAGGTACTCAACAATTGCTACCTGCCGGCCATTTTACATATGATTCATTTATTTAATCCTTACAGCAACATGAATAGATGATGTGCCACACTCCATTTTTTAAAAACTAAGTTATATAGAGCTTAATATTCGGCTCAGAGTCACACAGCTGTAATTAGATTTGGATTTCACTCCCATCCATATTTCTTAATTCCATGCTCTACTGCCTCCTTGGCTAACAGGCAGACATCACCTCTGCATTTTGATCGTTGAAGGCTTAAGAACTTTGAGTCCATAAGTGAGAGAGTGAACTGCAAAATTCAGAATTATTCTGAAATTCTGTTTTTTTTTTTTCCCAACTAGTTTGACCTCTTGCACGTAGCTTGCATGCCTTTGGAACTGGGTCTCTTCAGTTGACTTTTGTCGTCTTCAACACACTGCAGCGTGTAGCGGTTGAGCCTGTGTCACATAGCTGAATCAGAGTCATCTGCGGTACTCAGGTATTCCGTAGGAATCACAGTGTACACAGTGTACATTGGTCTGGGGCTAGGAAAGGTCCTAAGAGTTTGCACCAGAACTTAGAGATCAGGTTTTGCACCTGGGAACAATGCCCTGTAGAACAGATACGGGGGCTGCTGAAATCACCTTGCTTTTTGGTAGCCCCTGAAGACAAAATCGTGGTGTTTAGAATATAGAAGATTGGAGACAGAGGCTATCAGGCCATGGAGGACATAGGGAACTAGACGGGTCTGGTTCCTGGAGGCAGATGAAGATAGCCTCCTGCCCACTGTTTTCTCCTTTTGTTTTCCTATTTATTCTCCCAGTGCTAACTTGATATCTTCTTGTGTGTACACGTGTGTGTGTGTGCAAATATATTTCTAGGAACAAGAGCAAACATTCTAGTAACTATCATTCTCTGATGTGGAGAACTTGGGCAGAGATCTGAGTTACAGCTTTGTGGATTTATTCTCTCTGATGAGAGATCGCCCCTTAGAATGTCATGGTCCTAACCCCGTCATGGATACCAGGGGTGAATGGCAGGGTTCTTCTCCTGCCCAGGAGGAAGGGTATGGGGAGCCGGTGCATCTTGACTGTCAGGTCACCTGTCTTACCACCTTTACAGCTAGGCTTTCTGAGGTGCCAGCGTCTCCTGGAATTCAAACTGTAGTTTAGAGGCAGCTGGTGATTTTCCAGGCTTTGTAAGTACTTTCTGGTAGTGTTCATGCTTAGAATGTGCAAACATTCATAATTCGTGGACCAGGAGTCTCTGAGGTAGAGCAGAAGGCCCATTGAACTTGGGGGTGCCTTCCAATCCCTGCTTGCCCCTTGGTGGCATTACACCCACGAGCTCACTCCGTGTGCTGTTCACCTTATTTCCGTAATTTCTAATCCTTAGGATATTATTATCCACATTTTATAAATAAACCCCCAGAGCCTCAGTTTGGCTGAGTGATTTGCCCGAGGACAATAGCTCCTAAGTCTGCTTTCAAAGCTTCTGCTCTTTCCCCTGGAAGATGTTGGGGGCACAAAAGCAGGGGCCCTGGGGCCCAAGACCTGCTCCAGAAACAGGACCCTGACCATCCTAAAACGACCCAGACCAGCTGCAGTAAGGACCAGGCTTCTAATACCTTCCTGGCTCGTGATGTGCAAAGGCCTCATTCGAGGGGTGCAAGTCACCCGCACCTTCATGGGGTTGGGGATGGAGTTGCAGGAGCTGGCAGAGCAGGGTCATGCACAGAGATGCTGGAGAAGCACCCAGATGCCCAGCACTAGCAGGCACGGGGACAGGCACAGATGAGGGAGAAGGTGAGCCCCACAACACATGCAGGGAGGGACCCAGGTCCAGAGAGAGGACATAGCCCCCAGACGGGAAGAGACATTCACGGAGCGGGAATTTAATCTCAGCACCGTTTAGGGTTTTGCTCCCAAAGGCTTCCGAATCCATGATCACTTTACAACTCTGAGCATAAGGGCGGGAGCGCTGATGGCGGGAAAGCAAGTCAACAGCACGCCCATCCCACCTGCAGCATAGGGACCGCACCTCCCCTTGATTTCATCGGTGATATTCTATTTATAGGACTTCACTCATTACTGTGAACACCCAAACAACTAATGCTGTGTGTAAGGGGGTCTGCGCCCTGCCACTGATGGTGGAGACTGTGCTTAGGATTAGAGTCTTCGGGGGCTCCACTTACAGGTGAAATAGGCAGGTCTGGGAGCCTGGGGCCAGGGCGATGCCTCTTCTCTTCTCACTGGAAGTTTGGGAGCCTTGCTCAGTGGGGGCCTTGGGTTTTCTGGATTCTTGCTAAAGTGCTTCCTTAAGCCCTGAGTCCTCTCTTCTCCAAACACCACAGAAACAGCCAGTGCCATTGTTATGCACATTCTCACAAAGCAAGGAGCTAGAGAGAGCAGGTGCCAGGAGAGGACTGAGTGGGGCAGGCACATGGCAGGCACTGGCTGGGGCGGATGGGAGCTGCCAGCCTGTACCCTCCCAGGGAACCCCCTCCCCATGTCACAGGGAACAGCTTTGCCATCTACTGGAGAGCTGTGGCCCATGACGGTGGGTGAGATGGCTGGTGCTCATCTCTGCCACCCTGGAAGGGGGTAAAGAACGGCATTGCCTTATATTCATTGTTCAGCAACATCTTTTGTCTTTAATGACCTTCAGAAAAAAAAAACAACCTCATTCATCTCTCTGTTTTTTCTTAAATAACACATGATGTTGGGATCCTTCTGGAGTCTGTGGAATTTGCTTTTTAAAGAGGAAAGGAACAGAAGAAGGTTCCTGACCAGGCATTTTTCATCCTCACCTATCACAGTCCAAGAGGAAATGAGTTTAAATTGAAGTCAATGAAATTTGCAGAAATTCACGAAGGTGGCATTTTTAAATGTAAAATTGGTCTTTTTGGGGAAAGTAATGGAATTGTCTTTTTAACAAAGAGGCTTTCAACCTTTTAAATGTACTCAAGATCCCATGAGGCCACTGCTCATTGCAGTGCCTGTCCCCAGAGGCTCTGGTTCTCCTGGGAGCCAGTGCTTCCTGGCATGTGCCAGGGCTCTGAAGGCTTTGGTTGATCTTGGAGTCACACGCTGAACCTTGCCTCCCTGGAGATGAGAGTGACACGCAGTCAGCTGGGGCACAGGTCACTAAGGTGCCCAACAAACCGTGGTGTGCAAGCGCAGGTCAGGTTCCTGAGGCTTCACGTCCCCATTTGCTTATCTTTTTCCCTTAGCAGGTCCCGGCTGGTTGCATAAGAGCATGATCGTTCAGTGTCTGGGTAGCGCCAGGCCCTGGCAAGCACACCATGAGCAGCAGCTATTATTATATTATCAATATTTATCTGCCGGGCCAACTGGGATATTTGTCTTCAGATCCTTAAAGAAGCCATGTGGATTAGTTATCCATGGCAGCGTGATGAGACCCAAAACATAGCGGCTTAAAACAACAAGCGTGTCATAAAGGTCCCCTGCCTATGTGGTCAGGAATCCAGGTGCAGCTGAGCGGGGGATCTGGCAGGGTCTCTCGGGAGGGGCTTGTGTGTGATCTGCCTCCAAGCTTGCTCACGGGTTTGCTGCCCGGCCTCCATCCCTCGCCACACAGGCTTGTTTTAAAACACAGTGTTTCCCGGAATATGGCAACTGCACCCCTGAGGTTGAGCCATGCAAGAGAGAGAGAGCGGGCGCCCGGGGCAGGAGCCATGAAGCTTCTGTAACCGGGACCCGGGAGAGACCTCCCATCCTTTCTATCCATACTGTTGGTTGGAAGTGGATCAGTAAGCACCGCCCGTGCCCCAGGGATGTGGGGTAGGGTGTGCAGGGGCGTGGGTGCCAGGAGGCCAGGATCACAGGGCCCCTTGGCGGCTGCCCACCCCACGGTGACATGACATTTGGTCTGAGACCTTCCCTTGCCCTCTTAGTAAATATGTAATACAGCTGGGCCTGAACACAGATTGAGATGTTGCATTTCTGGCCTGGCACAGTGGCTCATGCCTGTAATTCCAGTGGTTTGGAAGGCCAAGATGGGAGGATGGCTTGAAGCCAGGAATTTGAGACCAGTCTGGGCAACACAGTGAGATCTCTGTCTCTATAAACATAAATCAATAAATAAAACAAATGAAAAATAGCAGCATTGCATTTCTTTGCACAGAGAAAGGTGAGAGGAGGAGAGTGGCATTATCCCTCCTAGGCAGAGTGCCTGTGCGTGAGGGCGCCCATAAAGCCCTGTGCTGCCTCTTTAAACGAAGGATTTTCGATCATGACAACGATAGCAATTGATATACCTTCAAAATACGTGTCCAGTGAGTGTTGATTGTGTGTGGTTTCTCTAGGAGACCGTGTTCATGCAACACAGCATTATTTCACCGCCTTTACCCCAGCTTCTTCATACACATGCACTTGTCAAGGGCTCTTTGGCTGAAGAGAAGTTAGAAGTTTCCAGATATGGAGGGGTATTTTCAGCAGATATGCCCACCGCCATGGTTTTGTCAGCTCTGTAGGGTGGTCTTGCACCCTGCTCACTGCTGGCATCACCTGAGCCTATGGCAGATACCCAGTGCTGCCCGCCACCATGTGAATTCATCAGCTCTGCAGGCACAGACCTTGCACTAGGAATGGGCTGGGACGCCACCCTCTGCCTCTTACCATTCACTGGGTTTGGCAAGTGTGCTGGGATCTGGAATCACATGGATGAGGAACCCGATAATGGTGACGACCGAGGTAGCAGGCGAACCACTGGCCAGGGCAGGAAGTGGGCAGCTCACGGGACTATGGCTGCACCGCGGGTTCATACCGACTACCATCCTGGAGGTGGGAGCGCATGCTCATCTGTAAAAGTCCGGTCCCACGTTGGACACACCGGGGTCTTCTTCTTTGTTGACCAGGATCCTCTGGCAGTGTCTTTAACAAGCCAGAGTCTGATCCCACCGCTCATAAAGCCAGGGTTGTTGAAAGCTTGGGGCTTCCTCCTCCTCTGTGCGCAGCCCTCAGCAAACGGTCACAGCCTGTGCTGTCTGCTGTACACCGACTTGGTATCATCCCATGAACTGTCCCCCTTTCGTGCTCTGTGCTTAGGGCCCTCTGATGCCCCATCTGCCTGTGCTTCCTGCAACTGTTTAGCAAGCACCTATTATCTATAGGGTGCTGGGGTGCTGGGCGAGGCCAATCGCTCCTATTACTTTCTGCCCTGGGGACGTCCTGTTTTCCCACCTACCCCTGTAACGCCTCTGCTCTGCCTTCCCATCTGCGGGGCTAACGCCATCCCACAAGGGCTGGGCTGTCCGTTCAGAAGAGAAACTGGGAAGGGGCCTTGAGGACCTGTGTCCAGGCAGGGTGGACAAGGGCTTTGTGCAGGGAGCTCCTCTCCCATCTTTGTGTCCTGACAGCCGTGACCGTGACCCCTCAAAGCAGAGCCAGTAGTGATCAGTATCCTGCTGCTTCAAGCCTGCACGGTCCTCTTCTCCTCTCCGCACATCTGCATGCCTGTCAAACCCAGAATAGTTTGGGGCCTGGTAAACAGAGGGAAGTTGGCTGGAGGAGGCCAGTCAGGAGTGCAAGAACCCCGCGTACTCTGTCCCACGTGGATAAAGTCTCTAATTCCAGTCTGAGGTGAA
Source organism: Homo sapiens (assembly GCF_000001405.40). NCBI lineage: Eukaryota > Metazoa > Chordata > Mammalia > Primates > Hominidae > Homo > Homo sapiens. The sequence goes on along the minus strand of NC_000006.12, from coordinate 161,160,467 downwards.
TTCTTAGAGAGTGCTTTCATTTAATGTTTGCTTTATGCATTTCCCCTGCAGCTGTGACTAATTGTGGAACAGCATACATTTTGTTTTGAGACTCTCTTGAGATTTTTCTGGCAGTGTAAGGTCTACACCATTTTCCTCTCAGCATCAGAGAAGGCAGAAAGCAAGAGAAAGGAATGCAATGTGAGCAAGGCCAGGCACACTTGTGCTACTGCAGTTGGCAAGAATGGAGTCTAATCCCAGCACTTTGGGAGGCCGAGGCGGGTGGATCACCTGAGGTCAGGAATTTGAGACCAACCTGGCCAACATGTTGAAACCTCGTCTGTACTAAAAATACAAAAAAAAAAAAAAAAAAAAAAAAAAAAATTAGCTGGGTGTGGTGGCAGGTGTCTGTAATCCCAGCTACTCCACAGGCTGAGGTGGGAGAATCGCTTGAACCCTGGAGGCGGAGGTTGCAGTGAGCTGAGATTGCACCACTGCACTCCAGCCTGGGCAACAGAGCAAGACTCCATCTCAAAAAAAGAAAAAAAAAAGAAAAGCCAGGTTTGGTGGCTCACACCTGTAATCCCATCCCAGCACTTTGGGAGACCTGAAGGTCAGGAGTTCGAGACCAGACTAGCCAACATGGTGAAACCCCGTCTCTACTAACAATACAAAAAATTAGCCAGGCACGGTGGCAGGTGCCTGTAATCCCAGCTACTCCGGAGGCTGAGGCAGGAGAATCGCTTGAACCCGGGAGGCAGAGATTGCAGTGAGCTGAGATTGTGCCACTGCACTCCAGCCTGGGCAACAAGAGTGAAACTTCGTCTCAAAAAAAAGAGAATGGAGTCTCTCACCTTTTGATGAACACACACACACACGCACGCGTGCACACAAACTGATTCATTATTTTGAGCTCCAGTCTTTTCTGCATTTTGCTATAACTAGGGACAGATTTCAGAGATTCCAGGCCCATACCATCCTCTCTTGCACACACCTTTCTTGCCAGAAGGGGTCTGTACAACAACTTACTGGCAGAGTTTAGTGGCAGAAGTGGAACACAGAAACTGAAAGCTTTCTGCTTCTCCCTTCCCACTAGACTCTGGGCACCTCAAGGCCACAGGTAATCATAACCAGCATTGAGTTCTCGGCACCTGCATAATGCCTGGCATAGGGGGCTTCTTAATCAATACCTTTGCACAGACAGAGCAGCCTTGGGTTGAAGATTCCAATCTGATGCGCTTATGCACCATACATCAGAATGGAGGCTGTGCTATGGGGAGACTTGTGGGGACCCTGGAGTGATAGGGCTGGATGGCTTGTCTTGGCTCCAGGGAACTGAAACATTTGCTACAGTGGCTCCAGCTGGTAGTCAAGAAAACAGTCAAAGGACTCAAAGGCAGGCTGTTTAGCCTGCTTTATTGTTAAGGAACATCTCACCTGTTTTTGAAGTTCCACTTAAGATACCTCATTTTATATATTTAGTAGAAATAAATGACCTTGGCTCACTTGACTAACTGGTAACCCTACTGGGAAACCTTCATGAATGACTGGACGTTTGCAAACAAAGCTGGCCATAGAGCCTCAGCCCCTGAGGGGTTCCTTGCTGGTGTTAGTGGGGGTGGAGGCGGTGCAGGAGCAGGATACCCTGCTGCTCCCAGCCATGCTGCTCGCAGCACCGGGGTTTGGAATCTTCATCTGAAGCCTTGATGAGTAGCCATTTTGGAGAAAACCTTAACTAGAATGGCCTCATTCCGATCCCTTTTCACCCCAGAGGCTGTAGAGCTTCTGAAGGTCAGGGTCAGAGTACTGGGTCTCAGGCCCTCTCTGCGTCAGCTCTTCCCAACGTCCAGGGTCTCTGCAAGGGCTGGCCCACTTGCCAGAGATGCAGACCAGGTCATGGGGCTGGCTGCTTCCCTGAGCTGTGGGGAGCCTCAGGATGGGTCGCTCAACTAGATTAGCTCCAAGCACCTGCCCTAAGACAACTCTCTCTTTCACTCTCTCTCTCCATAGTGGTTTACTCCACGTGAAAATTTTAGATTGTCTAAATATGCTTGTATCTAGACAGATCTGTTGATACATCTAACTCATCAGTAAATCCTTTCACGTTGACCTGTGAAATAAATCCAGAATTGATGAAATTAGTATATTTTCTTGTACATTCTCTCTGAAAGCTGTTGGCATCACACATGGAAGCCTCTGAGTGGCCTGGGAAAGCCATGATAGTTATAGCCTATTGAACCTTTTGCCGGGGGAACTGTCAGTATGTCTTAATAGCAGTTTCTAGTCTCTTTGTCATAAGTGAGTTAACTTGGGCAACTGTCTGTGCACAGTGACTCTTCAGTTGTGCTTAAATAAATGTAATCTATTGTTGTTACTATTACGCTAAAGCATGGCAGAGAAAATGGGTTGAATAAGGAGGTGTTCAGATACTGCTTGCTCTGGGATGAAAATAATAGCTACAAGTTATTGAACGCCCATGTCAGAGTCTCAACTTTGTGCTTTTGTAGATGTTTCCATACATTATTCAGTCTTTACAGGGACACCAGGGAATATGTGTTGTCTTCCTCATCACACAGAGGGGAAACAGAAGCTCAGAAGGATTGGGTGTCTTGAGCACAGTTACACAGCTGGGTCGTGGTAGAGCCTGGTTAGAAACAGGACTGTCTCATTCCAGAGCTTTTCATGCAGCCCTGCCAGGGAAAGAGAATTGAGTGACATTTCTTCAGTTTGAAGAAGTAAAAGCTTCTACCTTAATATTTTAACATGTTTCTTACCAAACATAGTTAACATCAAAACCTAGACATATTGATAACATCCAAAATTTTAAGGCTGAAAGATGGATTAAGCCAGTATAAAGAAAGTTATGTCTCTTCTTTTCCCTTTGATCATCAAAAACACCTGTTACCCCAGCACTTTGGGAGGCCGAGGCAGGCAGATCACCTGAGGTCAGCAGTTAGAGACTAGCCTGGCCAACATGGTAAGACCCTGTGTCTACAAAAAATACTAAAATTAGCCAGGCATGGTGATGGGCACCTGTAATCCCAGCTACTCAGGAGGCTGAGACAGGAGAATCACTTGAACCTGGGAGGCGGAGGTTGCAGTGAGCCAAGATTGTGCCATTGCACTCCAGCCTGTGCGACAAGAGCAAAACTCTGTCTCAAAACAAAACAAAACTGTTTCTGACCCAGAGCCTCACTTATATTCCCAAAGCAGATGGCGAAAGCATGCTGATGTCAGCCCCTTCTTAAAAGTGACATTGTTACAGGGATACTGTGAAATATGTTTACAATAAAAAACTGGAAAATCTAACAAAATAAAAATCACTTGTAAATGACTGCCCAGTGCTGAGACCAGCTTGGTCAGGCAGACCCTAACCCAGCGGTGCTAGAGGAATTAAAGACACACAGAAATATAGAGATGTGAAGTGGGAAATCAGGGGTCTCACAGCCTTCAGAGCTGAGAGTCTTGAACAGAGATTTACCCACGTATTTATTAACAGCAAGCCAGTCATTAGCATTGTTTCTATAGATATTAAATTAACTGAAAGTATCCCTTATGGGAAACGAAGGGATGGGGTGAATTAAAGGAATAGGTTGGGCTAGTTAACTGCAGCAGGAGCATGTCCTTAAGGCACAGATTGCTCATGCTATTGTTTGTGGTTTAAGAACACCTTTAAGCGGTTTTCCGCCCTGGGCAGGCTAGGTGTTCCTTGCCCTCATTCTGGTAAACCCACAACCTTCCAGTGTGGGTGTTATGGCCATCATGAACATGTCACAGTGCTGCAGAGATTTTGTTTATGGCCAGTTTTGGGGCCAGTTTATGGCCAGATTTTGGGGGCCTGTTCCCAACAGCCCAGCAACAACTACTGTTGTTTTTCTCTGCTTTACTTTTTTCATAAAGTCATAATAATGCTATAGACTCACCTTTGTTCCAGATCTTTTAAAAATTTAGTATTATACAGTAAACCATTGCCTAGCCATTACACAGTCATAGAAAACAAGTTTTAGTGGCTCTAAATTAGGCTCTAATTAGTGGCTCTAAATTTAGTGGCTCTAAATGTCATCTGGAATGGGCCAGAGAATGAATATTTTAGGTTTTGTGGACCACAGCGTGTCTGTCAAAAAACACTCCTGTGTGTAGCGTGAAGGCAGCTGCAGACAATAGGCACATGGACAAGAGGCTGTGTGGCCACAGGACGTCACTTACAAAAGCAGGCAGAGGAGCAGGCTTGTCCCGAGGGCAGTAGCTTGCTGACTCCTCTCTAGTGTTATACAAGATCTGGTACACACCATAACCCACGTGACATGTCTACCGTGGGATATCTAAACATTTTTGGTGATCTAAGAGGGATGGAGATAGAGACTCCCATCCCAGGTGACCATCTACGGGTCTAGATAAGCCGCATCACTGTCAAAGTTGTCGTTTCCATTTAGCAGCAGGTCATCAGAGGCCAACCACTAGGACCCACTAGGATCTTGCAAGATAGAATTGTGAACGGGAAATATCCCTGAGAGTGCTTTTCCCCAGCAGAAGCCATGATTGGCTGCATGGGACCTCTCACCTTCCCAGGGCCAACAGCTGCTGCTTTAGTCTGTGGCCCCTTCCTGGCTGCAGAACCAATCATCATTTATAGCTCCTTCAAATGACTGCATGTTTGGAATGAGTTCAGGTAAATATAATTTTAAAAAATACCATGGGCACAGCACACGGTAAGCCCTCACACCCGCACCAGTGGGTTCACCCACCCACGGGGATGTTCCCGGAGTCCCCTGGAGATAGGGCCTCCGATTTCATGGCTAAGTTTTCTTGGAGAGAATCTGCATGTTGGATTTGTGTGAAAAACAAACTCCATCAGAAAATGGAGATGCTAAACCTAGAAGGTATCTGCCTTTTCTATCCCATGTGAGGGAAGAAGTTTCTTGTTTTTTTAAAGTAGGGTAGCAATTGGCTGTTTAGACCTTTTTCTGTTCTGCCAGTAGGTTGGGGGACACGGCTTACTGACCCTGTGCTGAGCTGGAGCTGCGGAGAGGCATGGGTGTAACGGGGAGGAGAGGAGAGAGGGCTGTGTTGAAGCCGGAGCTCTCTGCGCTGTGGGCATCCTAGGTTTAGGGCTGCCCTGACCGCTGATATCCCATTGATCAGTCATCGACCCACTGATCAAGGAGCATCTTGGCCAGTTCCAAAATTAAGGTGAAAAGATAAACATCCATCAGATAAAAAGCAGTTTTTGTGTCTCCACTGCCCCGTCCATCCCACTGAAGCCCTGGTCTTCCTCAGTGTAGGGGGACTGATGTAGTGGACGCCTGGCTGGGGAGGGCCACACCGAGCCCTGGGGACCCAGGACTGCCCTGAGACTCCCCAGAGGGGACCTGTGGGGCCTAGCTCGTGCACCTGCGTCAGCCTCAAGAAGGTCTCTGGCAGGTGCTTCTGCCCCGTCTCAGCCTCAAGGACATGCTGGCAGCGGGTGTGGAGGGCACCGAGCACATCTCCTGGTCTGGGTTTTACTCCCAGCTTGGACCAGCTGTACCCGGAGATCCCACTGGGCTCCGCAGCCTGCTCTGTGAGCGGAGACTCCTGTTTGCCTCAACTGCAGAGCTCAGCAGAGTGAGTTGAGCTGTCTCGGAAAAATCGGATTCAAATGAATCTTTGGCCAACCACTGTTCAAGAAGGATGTTAACCTCACACCTAGGAATGCTACATTTTCTAGCGTTTGACATTTTCAGCGATCAAGAATTACTATATTTTGTAATATCACAAAACTCAGTGAGATCTGCAGAAAAGAGGTGCACAAATTAGTGTCACACAGCTGCACGGTGGGCTTAGCGAGTATGTGACGGTGATAACCTAGAAACCGTTTGGATGGTGGTGGGAGCATCGTCAGGACCCTGAATACCTGTGACTGCTCGCTGCTGCCTTCTTGACTCCTGCCGTCTGCGCTGAGAACCAGGGTGCCCCTGCCCCCTGCTCCCACACTGGCAGGGCAAGCACAACCTGGACCTCTAGCTGAAAGGTGGGGAGGGCACCAGGGTCCATGGCCTCGACAGCATGTGTTCTGGGACTGTCCCGAGGCGTCTGGTGTGAACGTCCCCTCCTCTTTTTCTACTTCAGTCTCCAACAGCCCCGGCAGGTGGCTCTGACGTCTCCTTCATGGGCACCTGGGCTCCTTCTTCTGTTTCAGGGCTCCAAGGTCCTGGCCAAGAAAGAGCTGGCCTATGTCCCAATTATCGGCTGGATGTGGTACTTCACCGAGATGGTCTTCTGTTCGCGCAAGTGGGAGCAGGATCGCAAGACGGTTGCCACCAGTTTGCAGCACCTCCGGGACTACCCCGAGAAGTATTTTGTATGTAGGCACCAGAGCAGCTGTGTCCCAAGGGCTCCTGCAGGACTGTGACCGTGGGACCCCCATGTGACTTCCACAGGACACGTGACTGTGTGGTCCTGTGCGACTCCAGGGCTGTGTGTGACCATAGGGCTGTGTATAACCTCAGGGATGTATGTGACCATGGGGCCGTGTGTGACCGTGGGGCCACGTATGACTGTGGGGCCGTGTATGACCATGGGGCCGTGTGTGACCCCAGGGCTGTGTGTGACCCCAGGGCTGTGTGTGACCATGGGGCCGTGTGTGATCATGTGGCCATATGTGACCCTGGGGCTATGTGTGACCCCAGGGCTGTGTGTGACCCCAGGGCTATGTGTGACCTCAGGGCTGTATGTAACCATGGGGCCCTGTGTGATCGTGTGGCCATATGTGCCCCTGGGGCTGTGTGTGACCCCAGGGCCAGGCATGACACCAGGGCTGTGTGTGACCCCAGGGCTGTATGTGACCCCAGGGCTGTGTGTGACCTCAGGGCTGTATGTAACCATGGGGCCCTGTGTGATCGTGTGGCCATATGTGACCCTGGGGCTGTGTGTGACCCCAGGGCCATGCATGACCCCAGGGCTGTGTGTGACCCCGAGGCTGCGTGCGACTCCTGCCTCCTTCCTTCCAGTTCCTGATTCACTGTGAGGGCACACGGTTCACGGAGAAGAAGCATGAGATCAGCATGCAGGTGGCCCGGGCCAAGGGGCTGCCTCGCCTCAAGCATCACCTGTTGCCACGAACCAAGGGCTTCGCCATCACCGTGAGGAGCTTGAGAAATGTAGGTAAGGAAGAGTGCGTGGCCCTGGGCCTCCCCGTGGCAGCGAGGAAGACAAGCCCCAGCTCCGGATGGGCAGAGCTTGCTTCCTGCCAGCACTTCCCAGCTGACTTGAGGCTAGGAGCTCAGAGTGGCTGCTCAAGTCCAGTCTCTGTGACTGGGAACCAAGGTCAAATGGCATTTGCACCCCTGGCTGGCACTCAGGGTGGGCCTGTGCCTGCTTTTCCTGGGGTGCCCAGGCCAGCGCTGCCCTCTGCTGTGCAAATGTGCTGGGTGCCTGGATGGCCCATGGGGTAACCTGGGTCCAGGCCTGCAGGCCCAAGACAGCACAGTTGGGTTTGAGGGGCATTTCTTGCCCACCTGTTGGCATCAGCTGAACTCTGACCTTGTGGTCTGTCACAGCTGACCTCGGAGTCTGGAACCCTAAATGGCCATCGGTAAGAAGAAGAAAATAGCAACAACTTGCCTCTGGCCTCTTGTCATGCTTTTGTCTTCTTTTTGACCCTTCTGTCTCCAGTTCAGAAACACCCTCTGTGTCCTTCTGCACACCTGGCCTCCCCACGCCCTCACAGTCCCTTGGCCCTTTCCGTGGGCTCCAGGCCCTGGGGGCGGCTTCCTGTGCTCCTTCTCAGGCAAAGCACTTCAGGCGAAGCTGTCTCCTTCCTGGAGGGAGCTAGAACCCAGCTGAATGCGGCTCCCGGCCCCATGCTGCCGCCTTCCTCGGCCTTATCCTCTTGTCTCCTCTCCTCCTTCTGAGGCAAAGGGCAGGGGGCCCCGAACTCCTCCCCAGGCCTGCATCTGGGGCCCCTTGGTTTCTCCAGCCCTGGCTGACCCCCTACCAGGACCTCTGGAGCAACAGAGTTGGTGAATCTGTACCTCTGAAAGTCCCCAGGTGACCCACCGGCTTTAGCGGTGGTTGAAGGCCCTGGGTAGCCCTCCCTGCTGGCCTCTGCTGCCTGTTTAACACCCTGCTGCACACCCGGGCCAGCGCCAGCCCCGCTCCCTTCTGGGGCTGCCGGGACCCAGGCCAGGCGGGCTGTGCCCCTGGCCCCCTCGCCCCTCTGTGTGCCTGCCCTGCCCTTAGCCCTGTTAACCAGTTTCTTCTTCCCCACATTCTTCCCTTGCTTCCTCATCCCTCTTCTCCTGGTCACCAGTGTTCCTTGATGACCTCTATTGGCACAATGCCATGTACTCCACACAGTGTCACCTTCAATCCCCACAACATCCTGGCAGGCAGCTCTTACTCCCGGAGAGGAGAGAGAAAAGCAGGCTCTGGAGTCTCAGCAGCTCACTTGGGCCTGCAGAACCGAGGGCCCACCGGGCCAGCCACCTCCGAGGTCCTTCCCCTCTGCCCAGCCTCTTAGAAGGTCAGCGGCACAGAGGGGCACTAGCTGCCTAAATGTCTCTCTTGCTCTGGGCTCAGCCCAAGGGCCAGAATTATCCTGCTCCCTGCAGTCCCTGCCTCTACACCGACCCTGGGCCCCAGGGCCAAGGATGCCCCCATTGCTCGTCCCCCGCTCCACCTCCCAGGCTGCTGCGCTCTGCACTGTCCAGCAGCGTCAAGACCCTGTGCACTCCCTGATCAGGAGACCTCACTGAATCCTGTTTCCTCTGCTGACCAGCTGTGTGACTCTGGGCAAGTGACCTTGTCTCTCTGATCCTAAGTTTGCTCCGAGTTCTGCAAAATCTGTTAGGGCTGCAAGGAGGATTAAATGAGAAAAGCTGGGTAAAGGGCTCAGCATCCCACCTGGTACATGATAAACATTTAATCAAAGGCTGCTCTTGTTAGGGGCCCCCTGCCTCCCACTGCACATCTCACCTTCTGCCCCTGGTGGGGTTGCCCAGCTTGCAGGGCTACGTGTCCCCCTCCTGATCCATCCCCTCTGGGTTGGGCCAGCGCGGCTCCCTAACTGAGCTTTGCCTCAGTCTTGCCTCGCAAGGCCGTCCAGCTCTATGCTGTTCATCACGGAGAGTTAACAAGGCTGTCTCCAAGAACAGCCAACACCGGTCTCGGGCGCGTCTGGCACGCCAGGCCCTGTACGCACTGTGCACATGGGATGTCCTCACAGGACTCAGGAAGGCAGATTGCTTTTTCTTTTTGCTTTCGGTTCACAGATAAGGACATTGGGGCTCAGAGAAGTTAAGGAGCTGGCGCAGTGTGACTCAGCCAGTACATGGCGAGCTGGGATTTGCTCCTGGCTGGCGGGGGCTGGCAGCGGCTGCTCTCACTCCTTCTGATGCGCCTTGCAGTTAGAATCAGGCTGGCTCTCCATTCAAGACACTTTTTTTGAGGTTTTCCTCTGGAAAATGAGACAGTTGGACAAGTCACTGATATTTAGGTGGCTCTTTGGGGAACCCGTGGGTTCTCCCCACCTTTGCTTAACCAGAGTCAGCCTCTTCTGTTGTCTGCATGGGTCCCTGTGTGAACAGGTTGGAGGAAAGGAGGTGTCAAAACCGCTGAACTACGTGAGCTCTGTGGCCCCTTCTTACTGGGAAGCCCTAGGACACTACAGTCATGGTCCACACAGCCTGAACAGCTGTTCCTGTAGATACGCATTTATGCTTTAAAATGCCTGGGAAATGTGATAAGCATCCAGGTTCTCTCCCAGCCACCCTGACCAGGCAGCTACTCCTCAGGAGGGCTCAGGAGAACAGTCCCGCCTTCAGCCCCAAGGCGGGGGTGAGTGGTCTCGGGCACTCCGGGCCCCACTTCCAGGCTCTCCTGCAGGGCAGCAGATAGTGGACCTGCAGACCCCGCATGGTGGTCAGGCAGCAGGTAGAAGAAAACAGATGGTGATTTATTGTTTTTGAATCTTGGTTCCACATATTCCCAACCAGACCAAGGGCCTTTCCTCCTTCCTGCCATTCTCCCACTCCTTTTATTAATACTTGCACATATGTAAAGCTCCCAGTGAAGTGTCTGGCTCATCATTTATTGAACACAAACCATGTGCTGGTCCCTGCAGTAAGTGCCTGACCTCCATCATCTCAGCAGCTGTGTGACAGAGGCTCCCTTCTCCAGGAGAAGACCTAGCCCCAGCTGCCCAAGAGAAGATCCCACCGGTGGGAAAAGGTGGCAGCCGCTGGGGTTCCCACCCGTTCCTCCTACCGTCTGGTGCTCTTACACTTCAGCAAGTAGCCATTTTCCACTGTGCATTTATCTCTTCTGTTCCTTCACTCGTTCCTTCCTATATTCTTTCATCCTTTGATCCAAGAAGCTTCAACTGACTACAATCCAATTCCTTAAGGAGTTTCTCATCAGTATCTTCTCCTAGGATAATTTGTAGCTACCTTCTTTTTCTAGGGGAAAATAATGCTCATAGAATGGTTATGCTGCTGTAACTGAGACACATCCTTACTTTCCTTTGGAATAATTTTTCTTATCATCCACACTTGTTCAAATTTCGGTGTTTCTTGACTGAAATGATAGGCTGGGCACATTAGAAAGTTACAAATCATCGTCGTAGTACCTCTAGACCTGACTTTGCAGTATTGCTTTAAAAGTGATCTGGGCTGGGCACAGTGGCTTACACCTGTAATCCCAGCACTTTGGGAGGCTGAGGCGGGCAGAGCACTTGAGGTCAGGAGTTCAAGACCAGTCTGACCAACATGGTGAATCCCTGACTCTACTAAAAATACAAAAATTAGCTGGGCGTGGTGGTGGGTGTCTGTAACCCCAGCTACTTGGGAGGCTGAGACAGGAGAATTGTTTGAACCCGGGAGGCAGAGGTTGTAGTGAGCCGAGATTGCACCACTGCACTCCTGGGTGACAGAGTGAGACTCCATCTCCAAAAAAAAAGAAAAGAAAGAAAAGAAAAAAATGATCTGACTTCAGCAATGACCCTGTTTTCTATTACTAAGTTCTAGTGGGATTTTATGATTACAAAAGATAATACACATTCAGTGTAGAACATGTGGACCATATAGAAAGAAAGAAATCTGACCACACCATTTCTAGATAAGCAGTTAGCCATTTGATTATTGTCTTCCAATGTGTGTATCTACAGAACAAAATTGGGTTCACACGCTATATACTGCTTTGTATTTGTTTTATTTTTTATAGTTTCAGCTGTATATGACTGTACACTCAATTTCAGAAATAATGAAAATCCAACACTGCTGGGAGTCCTAAACGGAAAGAAATACCATGCAGATTTGTATGTTAGGTAAGTCGAACTGTTTCCTTTCCAGAAAAGACAGTGCCCATTTCAAAGTAAACACATCACAAATGACCTAGAGACTTTCTTCCAGGGATCCCTGGGTCACACTGACTTCTTTGCAGTCTGTTTTGCATTGAATTTGACACATCCTACTATTGGAATGATCTGCTGAAGTCTCCTTCCGTCCCAGCTCCTTCCGGATCCTCTGTAACCAGCTTTTTCGTATCAAAGAGCTTAGGTTGAACAAATGGAAGGCTGTATTTTATAATTATTTTGGTGTTGGTGTGAAGAGAATATGTTATTGACCCTTTTCGTGGGCGATGGGTCTGCTGTATGGAATACACACAGATGTGTATTTATATAAGGCGGTCTAGACACAAATGCAGAACTCTTGCAGTGTCTCACTTATGTGTTATGTTCCAGGCTATTAATGATTTTATTGAAGACACTTCCAGAACATATTAGTCAAACTAGTTCTCTCTGCCTGCTTATAGAATGGGCTGAACACCTCCAGAATGTCACCAAAATCAGTGGGAAACAGAATTGGAAGGTGCTGCAGATAGTAAACACAATGGCAGTTCATGCATTAAAACCCAGTGTGACGGGTCAGGGACCGTATTGGTTTGTTGTGCTGTGGATCATCTTCTCTGAATGCTAATCAAGAGAATCTGAAATGCCCACTAATGGAGAACTAATCCAGGGGCGTATAACCTTCTGATTCAAGACCTTACAGAAGCCACATTACAACACAGCACCCTGAAAATCCAGGGGCCCTACATTCCCACCAGGCCACACCAAACGTCCAGGCTTTCCTGGGAGATATTTTGGTGGACTGGCGGCCAAAGTTAAGTAGCTTCTGATCTAAAAATGACTCTGGCTTTCCCATGAAAATAGGACAGCATCGTCATCATCACTGACTTCTTGTCTGATGGTGCAGGCAACAGTCTGCCCTGTGACTCAGTTCTGTGGCATATGAAGGCAGGAGAATCACCCACCTGCCCGAAGGAGACCTTTAGACCTTCTCCTAGGAGTAAAGTGAGGTTTTATTCCCCATGTTCTCTGACAGCTGGCAGGAGCTCCACTCAATGGCCAGCTGGGCTCAGTTATTTGGGAAAACCCCAAGATGTGTACAAGATTATTTCACCTCTCAGGTAGCTGCAACTCTCCAAAGCATGTGTGACAATCAGCCCAAAAATGGTACTGGCACGTTCACTCACCGAAGCCAGATCACCCTCTTGACCCCAGAGGAAGGTTAGCATTGATGCTATTCAACACACATCTTTTTGTTGTAGCTGCCCATTAAAAATGATTGAGGCATGTTTCTGAACACACATCAGTACAAAGCACTGAAACATCAAGGGCGATAATGTCAAGTTGCTGAAAAGGGCAAAACTCACTACATTCCTACTCTCCAAATAAAGAAATATTAGGCAGACTTGAGAGATCTCATTTCCAAAGCAGAGTAGATCAAACAGCAAAGAAGTAGAGGATCCAGAGAAGTGCAGTGTGCGTAGGAACAGAAAAGGTGAAAGAATATTTCCGGAGGAGCTTATGGGGTAAGTTCTAATTATGTGAAAAACTTACCTCTGTACAATACTGCCTTGAAAAGGAAGTGGCTCATTGTAATCTGTTATAAGATGGAATCCCATCCTTTATCTCTTAACAGACTCTAGTGTGATAGATAAACTCTCAAATCTTCTTACTAAGATATTCTTAGGCCATAGAAGGGAGTGAAGTGACCTGAGAAATCAAGCCAGATGCAGACTTTGACATGGACAAAATTGAGTATAAATGAACGTCCCTTGAAATCACAAGAGCCATCAACCTGAGAACAAATAGGAAGGGCAAAGGTGGCAGAGTGACTTCTCCCTGTGTTCAGTATGGGCTCTTTGCAAATGATCGAGTGGCAAGCCCTTGCCAGCACCAGTCCCCAGAGCCACCCAAGTCTCTGAGCTCTCGCTGGTGCACAGTGACTCAAGACCCCTGTCTGAGCCATGGAGCCTGGGGAAGATGCCCTGGCTACTTCCATCTGGGAGAACTTTAATTCCCCACCATCCACATCACTGACTTGTCAAAACCTTTGCAGAAAGTCTGCCTCAAGGCTAACCAAGAGGCCAGAGGAATCATTTGATGGGAGATAATCTGCCATTACCAGTAAGTTGGTTACTTGGCTAAGAAGAAATTACTAGGTTATTGTCTCTGATGCATCGATTCTGTGTATATTGGATTGTCTCGTGTGGAAACTGAGGCAGTGTTGTCCTCTTTGGAAGAGGCAAATATCAGGTTTTGGGGGCCTTTTTGTGAGGTGGGAGGGAAGACGGAATGAGGCAGGTGTCCCCTGTTCTCACAGCATCTGTCTGTGCCATTGAATTGGCCCCTGGGTTGTTCCTTCGTGGGTCATAATTGCATTTTTGCCTGTTTCTCCAGTGTGGATGTGGAACGCCCCTTCTTTCTATCACTTGCATTACTCTCTTCAGTTCCACATTATTTAGGTGACCCAGATAAAAACAAAAAACGGCAGCACCGTTACTGGAAACTGTATGTTGTAGGGGGGCATCACCTCCTCTCTGCTAGCTGCTCTCTGCCTTTGCAGGAGGATCCCACTGGAAGACATCCCTGAAGACGATGACGAGTGCTCGGCCTGGCTGCACAAGCTCTACCAGGAGAAGGTCAGTGCACTGGGTGCCAGGGGTCCCTTCACGTTGCAGCTGTGGGTGCGCCGTGTGGCTGTGTTGTGTGGTAGCAGGCCTTTCTCCGGTGGGCGAGATCTCACAGAGCCAGTTATTAGTGAGTCTGGAGCTGACCCTCTCTTGGCAATGAAGAACATGACAAAATATTTTTTAAGGAGGGTTCACACACACACAATGAAGCTATTCTCTAGGTGTAGTGGACCAAGGGAGAAGTAATGGCCCCAATCGCCCCTGCTCGTATTTTCCTGCCTCTGGTCCTAAGGCAGGATGTGCTTGTGGGGTGGATGTTCTCCGCAGCAATGGACATGGTCTTGATTGCTTCTGGATCAACAATTTGGTTGTCAATCTGATCTCAAAGCATCTCCAGAATAAGCAGGATAAAGCCCTACAAGGATCCACCTTGGTCTTGGCTGGGTTCGAACCTGCTGTGGTGCCCCCTGTCCTGTTCCTGTCTGTGGTCCAGTTCTCCAGGGTCCCCCTACTTGTTCTGTCCTTTCTCTGAGCAAGGCCTTTGCTTTCATTGGTTTCTCTCCTCCAAAGGCATATGCAAGGAAGGGAGTCTCATAACTACTGGATCTTATGAAGGAGCGAAGCTTAGCTTCCCCTTGGTGAGAAAAGCATTTTTATGGCCAGGTCTCATTAACCAGTAAAAAATTATTTCTGATTCACCATATGTTTTAAACCCAAACAAGTCATTCCCTAGAATCAGATATATTCTATAGGATTCTGATGACCTTTTCCTCAAACTCCATAAATGCGGGCTGGCTCTCATGGGTTCTGTTTTTCTCTGTTTCTCAAAGGAGAGAATTACCCAGAGCTTTGCAGGATGTCCTCTGCAGCTGAATAAGAACTTTAACCCTACCTACACTTGGGAATGTGTTAGGATTTTAGTCCACAAGACTCTTAACAGACTCTAGTATGATGGATAAGCTAAATTTGCCTCCTTTAGACAAATTTCAGTCCAAAAGACTTGCCATCACCTTTAGCAGAGAAGCTCTTGTAAGTTTGCTCAGTTTTTGGAATCAAGATCCTGATACCTTTTTTCCCTGATGATGCCTTTATACCATCACTGCACAGAGCTGGCATGTGGGCCTCTTTCCTATGTAGGTTATGGGCATTGCTCTCTGGTATCCCCTTACAAATACACAAATTACAAATTGTATGTATGGACTCATTTACCTTGTCATTAGAGCATGAGTTGTGCAGATTCCCAGGCCCGAACCCCAGTGATTCTGTCTCTGCAGGTTAGAGGTAGAACCTAGAAATGTGTACTTCCAGCAAACTGCTTCTGATGCAGATGGCTTTGATGGAGATGGTCTGAGGCCTGAAGCTTTTTAACAACAAGATTCTAAGTTATCGAGGTTCTGCACCGATGCACATATGTGCCCCGACAGAGAAACAGAAAACCATATGAATTTCCCCCTTCTGTTTTCATGCATGAGGCAGTATTTTTCTTGCTCTGTTTTCTGGTCTAAGCATTGAGGCAGCATATAAAATGTTACTTTTTTTATTTTTTTTTTTTGAGACTGAGTTTCACTCTGTCTCCCAGGCTGGAGTGCAGTGGCGCGATCTCGGCTCACTGCAAGCTCTGCCTCCTGGGTTCACGCCATTCTCCTGCCTCAGCCTCCCAAATATCTGGGACTACAGGCACCCGCCACCATGCCCGGCTAATTTTTTTGTATGTTTAGTAGAGACGGGGTTTCACCGTGTTTGCCAGGATGGTCTCGATCTCACAAGGTCTTGTGATCTGCCCTCCTCGGCCTCCCAAAGTGCTGGGATTACAGGCGTGAGCCACCGTGCCCAGCCGAAAATGTTACTTTTAGCCGAAAGCAGAGTATGCTAAGAAAAGGTTTAGAAAATGAGCCTCTTTTGTAAAGAGCCACACAAACAAATCTACAATAAACGTGGGCCCTCAAGCCCATCAAGGCAAAGGAGATTTTTCTCAACGGGCCCTTCCTCCCCTGTATTCAGGCAGAGTGTGGTCATCGTGTAAACCAAGCTGAGAGGCACATCTCCTTCTTGTTAAAAGTCTCTTAGGGTGTTTTCCTCTAAACTATGTTCACATTTAAATGATAGTGTTCAACTTGGTAGGGTTCTCAAAGTGATCATCTACTCCAAAGCTCTTACACTACTGATGAGGAAATTCAGGTCCGAAAGATGAAGTGATTTACCCAGTTTTCCAGCTCACTGATCAAAGCCAGGTGCTGGAGTCCAGGCCCTTTCTCTCTCCGTGCAGGGCTGGGGCGACACCGAGTTCTCTAAGCAGTATGTGTCTGTGAGCAGGCCTGGGAGGCTGGCCCTTTGCCCTTCCGAGAAGATCGCTGAGCAGCAAGTGGAAGTGGTGCATGGTTTCTCCAAGCAGAGTGGTGAATAGACATCAAGGGACAATTCCTTTCTGTATCAGCCTATTTTGCTAGGAGCCTAGATCTAAAGCTTTACGTGCCCCAAATCTGGGTGCCCGACCCAGTTTGTCAAAGTGGGATTTCATTTTAATGATCAACCTTGCAGTCAGAAGTGTGGTGTATGTCAAAAGACAGTTCTGTTGATTTTGACCTTGGGATTTTAGGGCAGTAGTTCTCTGACTTTTCAATTTCATGGACAAGTAAAGTTTCTGCAAAATGGGAGGGGAATGGCAGGCAGCCAACAGAGGTGTGCCAACATTCTGGTCTTTCCAAGCATGGACATAAATAAAGAGAAACTCGCCATCTACCACTGACACAGTTATACTCTTTAATATGGGAAAGGCACCATCTCTGAAAACAGGGCCATCCTTTGAGTGGACCTAGTTTAGCTTTATGAAAAATGCACAGTATTTCTTGCTCGTCAGCATTTGGGACTCGTGTTGTTGGAAGGCTTTGAGAAACCATTCATGCCCTTGTGTGATCTTCTGTGGACAAAAGCAGTTCCCAGGTAAACTCGCTCTGAGGCTGAACCTACAACCTCAGAACCCCCTTTTTTCCAGGGAGGTCACGATAGCCATCACGGTTTCTTAATTGTATGGGGTGAACAGATTCTAACTTTTCATTTCTAACTTAAAGTACTTCTTCAGGTTGTAATTTGACATTTGCAGAAGGGACTATAACTTGGCCATTAATAGTGCAAATTAAGAAATAGGTGAGGCTGGGCACAGTGGCTCATGCCAGTAATCCCTTTGGGAGTAAGCACTTTGGGAGGCTGAGGCTGGAGGATCACTTGAGGCCAGGGGTTTGAGACCAGTCTGGGCAACATAATGGGAACCCGTCTCTACAAAAAAATTTTACAAACTAGCTGCACCTAGCGGTACACACCTGTAGTCCCAGCTACTGGGGAAGCTGAAGTGGGAGGATTGCTTGAGCCTAGAAGTTGAAGGTTACTGTGAGCTATGATTGCACCACTGCACTCCAGCCTGGGCAGCAGAGCAAGACCCTGTCTCTAAAGAGAAATAAGTGAAGGACAGCTACATTCAGAGCCGTCCTGTGGAGGCCAAGGTCGGGAGCAGCTCTGGGTGGGGTGCAGAGTTCAGGGTGCAGGCATGGTGGCCCGTGGGAAACACTGTGCTCTCCTGCTCTGGCCTTCAAGGACAAGAACCATTTTGGGGACTGGCAATTGTTTTTTCACTTAAACCATAAGGGCATTGCTCCTTAGAAGGGCAGCAGGGAGCCTCAAGGCTTGGCTCCCATGGTAAGTCCTTTGCAAGTCCTGGCCGTGCACTCGGGTGGTGTCTGCGGGCTGAGACCAAGGCTTGCGAGCGCTTCTCACAGAGCCTCTCCCCGCCCAGACTTGCTGACTAAGAGGAGCCGCTTCTTCCTCTCTGTTCCTCAACTTTCTCTTCTATTCTTCGTTCTTTCCTGTTCTTCCTCCCGTTCTTTTCTCCCTTCTTTCTTCTCCTGGGCCCTGGGAAAGCTGAGCGGACGTGCTGTGTGGACGTCTCCTTCGCACGCTTCCTCCCTAGTGCCTTTGTTGCGGGCTGCAGGGGGCGTTCGTCCGGGGATCTGCCGCCTCTCAATAGGATCTCGTTCTCCTCTTGGCTTGTAGGTTGATGCTTCTTTCTGGAAACAAACCAACTCTCCTTCATTCAATAACTACATTTCCCAGTTCCAACTTTATACTATGCCACACGGTAACACACAAAAACAAAAAACACGAGTCCTTTCCCTGCGGGGCAAATTTTATTACAAAACGGGTCCACAACCAAGATGGGCCACGGACATTCTGCTGCCAGAGCCTGGAGTCTGGCCAGAGCTGGCGGTGCTGTTCTCTCCCCGATAGTCAGTGGGAGGTCCTGTGGCAATGTCATGGGCCATAAGTGAGGGGAGGGGATGAGATTTAGTGTTTTAAACCACAGACAAAGAAAACTTTAAAGTGAATGGGGCTGGGCGCAATGGCTCACGCCTGTAATCCCAACACTTTGGGAGGCTGAGGCAGGAGGATCACCTGAGGTCAGGAGTTCAATACCAGCCTGGCCAACATGGTAAAACCCTATCTCTACAAAAATTAGCTGGGCATGATGGCAGGTGCCTGTAATCCCAGGTACTCAGGAGGCTGAGGTGGGAAAATTGCTTGAACCCGGGAGGCGGAGGTTGCAGTGAGAGGAGATCGTGCCATTGCACTCCAGCCTGTGCGACAGAGTGAGACTCTGTCTCAAAAAATAAAATAAAGTGAATGGGAAGTTCTGAGTTGGGAAGCTCCTAGAAAAGGGAGTGCTTTTTTCTTCTTGCTAGAGGTGCAAATAAAACAATCTTGGCCTAGCAAATGTCTTTCTGGAAACAAGACAGAAAAGGCACCATGGTGAGTTCCCCTTTGTGATATTACTGTAAAAAAGCACTATAAAGACTGTTAAGGAAAATAAATTCAAAAGCCACATTTGCCCATTTTTTAAAATGGGTGAGTTCTATGGCATGTAAGTGACATCTTAAGAAAGCTGTTTTTTTTTTAAAAAAAAACAAGGCACAAAAATATCACCCCCCTTGTCTAGTTATCAGGTGCCCTGTGGCCCCAACCTGGGATAAGAAAATCACCCCGTTCTGGTGGGCAGGCGAATGCCGCTGCTTCCCTGGCAGAGTTGGGTGCCACCTCTCTGGGCATTGCCTGTGCTGCTGACCGTCATGGTGCTCACCTCCTTGTCTCCTCCACCATCTGATCGCTCTCACTGCTTGAGGGTAGGAGTGCTTGGCACACACGTTGATTGTTCTTCAGTTGCTTGATGATGTGACTTCCCCTGAGAGCCCCCATGGCTTCTCTTGGCTGATGTCCAACAGCAGAGTCACGCGACAAGTGACGCTTCGGACCAGGCTTGTTAATGGGCTGCAGGGGGCCGAGGACAGAGCAGAGGCACCTGAACTGCCCAGGGAAGGGGTTGGGGGTTCTCCTTCCAAAATGGCCTAGTGTGTGGACTATTATTAAAAGTGCCTCTGAGAGGCCAAGAAAGCCTATGATTCAGTACACCCTGAATGAAAAAGAAGAAAAGTATGAGATACTTTAGACTTTTCTATCTCAAGTTGTTAAAGGAAAATATTCAGCATTTAAGTAGTATAAGTTTCAATTATAAGGAAGCTCATTTTCCAGAAAACTCGACTCCTTAGAGAACTGGGACATTACTAGGCTAGTTCATGGGACACAAACTGGGCCTCACTGTGACCCACACCCATTTTTGTGTGGCGTGCATGCTATCGGCCACGTGCAGCTTTTACAATAGCTGAGGCAGCTGCCCACCATACAACCTGGGCAATTCCCTGTGGCTGCCTGGTTCAGCTCTGCTCCCTGCAGGCAGCTTCTGCCCTGGCCCCTCCTCACGGCCAGGACCTGCCCTTAGACGGGCCAGCGGGCATCCTGGTGCCACAGCTCCTTGTTCCCCCCAGGTCCTGGCTCAGCTCAGCTCCCAGCCGCTTGAGCACGCCTGCTGACCTGGGTTCCTGGGTCCCTCCCTTGTGTTCAGCAGCTCCTTGCGGCTGAGCCCCAGTCCCTGAGCGGGAGCTCCGTGACATGAGACACCCAGGGAAGAGCCACCGCGTTCTTTCGCAGTGCATTTATGTGGGGCCGTGAGTCCCCTGTTCTCACCCAGGGACTGCAAGGAGCGCCATGAGGCTCTGGAGTAACTGCCCTGCAAGCTGCTCGGTGACACACACACCCTGTGGGTGGATGTGGATGAGTACATGGTTCCCACTAAGGATCTGCTTAGTGGAAGGACATGAGCCTGTTTGTTTACCTTTCACACGGTCTAACAATCACTTAGAAGAGTCACCCTGGACACCCAGTCCTGAGTGTGCTGTCACCTCTGAGAGCCACACCCAGCAGCCCTCCAGCCCTTTGTCATTCATGATGCCTTGAATCACGGCCCTCAGAGCCCTCCAGTGGCAAACAGGGTGGTAGGTGCGGGTGGGCTGCCCGAGGTGAACTGGCTGTGGAGGCCGGGAAGGCGGGGCATGTGCCGGGCCGGGCTGGGCGAGCTCCTCCTGACTGCGGGCCAGGTCTCCACCGAGTGTCCCCTGCGGGCAGCTTCGGCGCAGCATCCACTCCATTCTCCCGCCGACCTATCGTGGAAGGCACTGCTGCCCCATTAGACAGACTGGGGCCTGGGCTCAGGGATGCAGGTGCCTGCCCACAGAGGGTGGATCCTAGCCCAGGCTGGCCTGGCGCCAGGGTTCATGCTCCACGCCCTGCACTCAGTGACAGCTGCAGCGGCCCCACCACTCCCAGTGTCCCTGTGGGAGGGGCGGCCAGATGCAGCTTTGAGAAGACAGCAGCTGCCTACAAAGTGCTTTCTGGAAGGAGCTGCAGACCCCAGTTCTGCCGAGCCCCGGTGGCACCTGTGTATCTCTGCGATTCCCTTGGAAGCAGGGCCTCGGGAGGGACCTGCCACCGAGCCCCGTGTGGCGTCTGAGGGTCCTCTTTCCTGTCCCCCAGGATGCCTTTCAGGAGGAGTACTACAGGACGGGCACCTTCCCAGAGACGCCCATGGTGCCCCCCCGGCGGCCCTGGACCCTCGTGAACTGGCTGTTTTGGGCCTCGCTGGTGCTCTACCCTTTCTTCCAGTTCCTGGTCAGCATGATCAGGAGCGGGTCTTCCCTGACGCTGGCCAGCTTCATCCTCGTCTTCTTTGTGGGTGAGTGGAGGGCAAGGGGCTGGTGGGTGCTGACAGCACCACCCTGGGAGAGGTGGCATCAGGGCTGGGACGAAGGCCATCTGTATAGGCAGTTGTGCCGTGGATGAGGAGCAGGCTCAGCTTGCAATCACAGGGAAAGATTAGACTTCAGGATGAGTGCGAGGCCCTCGAATACCAGGCCTGGGACCCCCTCCGCAGCCTGGACGGTCCAGCCTCCCACCTGGGGCTGGATTCCACACGTTCCCTGTTGGGTGGTGATGCAGCTGCCACTTCACTCCCCGACAGCTGGGAGTGCTCCCTCCCTGTCCTCCGCAGACAGCTCTGCTCATTGGCATCATTTCCTGCTTCTGAAGAAAGCCCTGTGCTGGAGCCTGGCGGGGACGGATGGGCAGCTCCCTGCCTTCCTCTGGGGGCGCCTGTGGCTTCTCCTTTGCTGCAGGTGGATGACACTGAGTGGAGACACTCGGCGACAGAGCTTTTCATGGGTCTGCGCTGGCTCCAGGTGACCGGTATTCTCGGGCTACTGCTGCTTCTTGGTGGCAAGCCCCTGTGCACCCTGCTCCTTGCCTCTGGCGGGGCAGCCTGTCGTGCCTGCTTCCTGCCCTGTGAACAGCAGGTCCGTGCTTCCTGGAGCCAAGGAAGACTTTGGGGTTTCCCTGTGAAAGGCCCTGTCTCCCCAAGCCTGGCGTCCTCTGAGGCTTTGGAGAGCCCGGGAGAGACGGCACATTGTCCAAGCACACAGAGATCACGTGCTTCTTCCAAATGGACAGGACTCAGTTATTTTCTGTCAAACACAAAGATGCAGTATGCTCACTATAAAAGGCCCAAGCAATAGACAAGCGCAGAAAATGGAAAGTGTGTCAGGAGACCATTCCCATTGAGCCCACTTCCCAGATAATCGTTAATGACAATTTGATGCACGTGGTGGTTCCAGTCTCAAGCATATGTGCATCTATAAACCCGTATCAGTGGAGTTTCTTCAGCTCGCCTTTTCACCTAATGAATCATAACCACCAAAACAGGTCACAGCACATAAACCTAGCTCATTCATTCTGACTGAGCCAACCAATGCTGCAGCATATGGGTGCAGTAGACAAGCTGGCTCCTGTTCCTCAAATAGACCCTACTATACAGTCTTTTGAAAGATTAAGATGTATTTTAGTGTTAAAAATTAAAATATTAAAACAACACCCACACCGTGTAAGGGAAAAAAATAAGAGGTTGGAGAAGAAAGCACCTCATCTCCTTAAGGCAGGTCCAGGGGCACCCCCATGCCCCGCCATGCTGAGGCTGGCCAAGGGTCCGGGGCAGCTGCAGGTGCCAGGGCCCCTGGTAGGGCGGGGGCAAGCTCAACCCTTCTGCTTCAATAGCAGGCAACAGCAAGGCACACACACACCCACGCCGTCTTGGAGAGGGGCCCCTTCAGGATGAAGGCTGCAGACAGGGCCACCCAGCTGTGTAGCGAGTACCAAAAAAAGAAGCCTGAGCACTGCCCAGGGTGCAGTGTGGACACAGGGCGTCTCCAGGAGCATCTGAGGGGTGCAGTATGGACACAGGGAGTCTTCAGGAGCATCTGAGGGGTGCAGTGTGGACACAGGGAGTCTTCAGGAGCATCTGAGGGGTGCAGTGTGGACACAGGGAGTCTTCAGGAGCATCTGAGGGGTGCAGTGTGGACACGGCGTCTCCAGGAGCATCTGAGGAGCTGACTGCCGTGCCCCATTACTCTGAGCCTGCGCCTGACTGCATTCTTCCCTGAAGGACTTTGTGTTTGTGTTCTTTACTCCTCTTCCAAGGCCACACGGTCCACGTTTTACTCACTTCTTTCTGCTCTACAATAACTCCACTCTCACTGTTACTGTTACGCTCCATGCAGGAGCCCTCCAGTTTGTAAATGACCCATGGGAGATGCGTGCCTCCTGCTGGCTGGGCTGGATTCGCCCATCCCAGGCTCTTGCATCCATGTCCCAGTTAGTTTATCGACCGCGATGCTAATGCTAGATAATCCTGTGCATCATGATTTGGGGGATTTCATTCACTTATTCGTCTATCCATTCTTAAGCATGTATTATAAATGGACTGTTTTCCAAGCCCCATGCCCAGTGCTGAGCACATCAAATGATTAAGTCTTGGGCCCTGCACCCAAGGACCTCACCACATCTGCCCGCTCCAGAGGGTGTAGTTGAAATTGCAACTTCTGAGCATTAGGCCCTGCTTTCCAGCTTCCTATATTAAACTGGGCTCCCACGAGGGTCCTGCCCATTCTCTGGTGTAGGCAAATCCTGCCGTCAGAGGAGAGGGCGGGGATTTTCTCACTGCTCTAACGCTTGCACCAAAAGCAGTGCTGAAACGTGTTGGGCACTCGATACTCGAGCTCTTGCGTCTTCCAGGCTCCTGGTCTGTTCTTTATAAAACTTCGCTGAACATGCCCTGTTAACTTCCTGTCCCTTATTCACAAAAGAATCCTCTTTACCTGGGGGTCAGCAGAGGAAGCCAGGGATTTCTCTGAGTCCCTGCGAACGGCTGTGCATGGCTTGCCAAATCATTCACCTTCAGGGTCCAAGGAGGAAAACCCCCACCAGAGCAGCCTTGCTTTGTCTTAATGTCACATGGATGTCCACACTCAAGGATGATTGTAAAGCCGGCAGGATGATGGCACCTCAAACCCGCCAGCCAGCTCTGAGCTGGCGCTTGTGATTTGCGGCCACGGGCCTTCTCACTTGCTCTGTGGGAAAACGGCCCTGTAGTCTGTTTGGGCTACTCCTAACTCTGCTCTCCTTGTCTCTGCAGCCTCCGTGGGAGTTCGATGGATGATTGGTGTGACGGAAATTGACAAGGGCTCTGCCTACGGCAACTCTGACAGCAAGCAGAAACTGAATGACTGACTCAGGGAGGTGTCACCATCCGAAGGGAACCTTGGGGAACTGGTGGCCTCTGCATATCCTCCTTAGTGGGACACGGTGACAAAGGCTGGGTGAGCCCCTGCTGGGCACGGCGGAAGTCACGACCTCTCCAGCCAGGGAGTCTGGTCTCAAGGCCGGATGGGGAGGAAGATGTTTTGTAATCTTTTTTTCCCCATGTGCTTTAGTGGGCTTTGGTTTTCTTTTTGTGCGAGTGTGTGTGAGAATGGCTGTGTGGTGAGTGTGAACTTTGTTCTGTGATCATAGAAAGGGTATTTTAGGCTGCAGGGGAGGGCAGGGCTGGGGACCGAAGGGGACAAGTTCCCCTTTCATCCTTTGGTGCTGAGTTTTCTGTAACCCTTGGTTGCCAGAGATAAAGTGAAAAGTGCTTTAGGTGAGATGACTAAATTATGCCTCCAAGAAAAAAAAATTAAAGTGCTTTTCTGGGTCATCTGTGGTGTATGTTGACATGGACCGCTGCCCCTCCATCCTGCCCTTGCCCGTGGCTTTGGTGTTTCAGATCCTACTCACGGGAGGCAGCTGCCGCGGAGGTGTGGGCAGCTGAGAGGGGTGGGCAGGCCAGCACAGCTCCTGGCAGGAGACACAGGTCCAGGAGCCCGTGAGCATTTGTGAGAGCAGAGATGGCAAGCACGTGCGTGGAGACCAACGAAGCGTGTCCCTGGCACACAGCAAGGGAGAGTTTCGCTCGGTCTCTGCAGTGCAGTCTCCTGGCGTAAGTCTTGAAGATGGACCCAACTCCCTGAAGAAATGGATCTTGAAATTGAACACAAACATCATGAACGTACAGCCTGGGCATTCTGCAGTGATTTGTGAGATGAGCTTGCATCGACTGTTCCTCTCAGCAGTGACAGCCAAAGTCACCCCTGATAAAATGCAGTTTCACTTTATAAAATGCCTCGCCCCTTCCCAGCATGTAGAGCTTGTCTGCAGCCCTAAAGGAGCCAGGTCCTGCTCTGATGAGGGTCAAATCAGAGCCGACATCCCATGTACAAAAAACCCCCAGGCTTCTGCCTTCCTTCCGGGCTCCTGTCTGCTCCCATTTTACTCCACGGAATAGTTCTGCCCTGTAGCATCTCCAGCGGCCTTTGCAGACTGCTGTCAGCCAACAGGTGCCAAAAATGCAAAAGAAGAAGAAACTAAAAGCAGTGCTATTTTTGCAGAACAAATGCTAGCTATTAAATCATCTTAGGCCAAGACACCAATGGCACTTGGACCGATAGGTATTTGGAGCATGAGTTAGGAAGGATATGTCTTTCTCCAGGTGCGCAGCTGAAAGTTGCTGAGAAAAGCTGCCTGTGTTGCTGTGGTAACATGAGAAGGAATGAACAGCTCTATACAAAAACTGGCCACACATTATAAGGCCTATTCTATGCAGTTATGTTTTTGGCTATTTGCTCATTTAGTCATTGTTTATCAACCAAACTAGGTAAGCCAAGGAGTTACAAGACAGCTCTAGAGAAGCTCCCTCTGCTTACAGGACAATAATGCATTGTTTGTTTGTTGATACAAATGAATTATTTGAATCCACAGAAGTGAAAAAGGGAAAAAATCCTGGCTGACTTGTGGGAAGAGCGTACTGCAGAGCCTAGGGCCTGAGTTAACTCGCTGGCGGCCCTGCAGGCAGGCTTGATGGGAGCGCCCAGCACATCTGCCCACCCTGCACAGGGCATGAAGCACCGTGTGCAGAGATCTGTGGGCAAAAGCCCAGGACGTGACCTTAGGCAAGAGGGGTCCTTGGAGAAGTGGAGGTGTGCATGGTGTGTAGCCTTGCGTGTCTGTGAGCACGCCCTAGTGGACCTGCGCCTGGATTATCGGGCCAGTCTCTCGGAGGGGTCCGTGATGCTGAGTTACGCCATTCACCTGAACTCTGCAGCTCATCGGCTGTAGGATTTGGGTGAGACACTTTTCCTTGCTGACTCATTTCCCCATCTGCAAAATGGGGGTGACGATATCTACCTCTTGGGGTGTGTCAAGGGTAAAAGAGCACACTTTAAGAATCCTAAAGCACTAAGCCAAGGATGAAAGACTAGAAAGCTGCCTCTATGTTGCTACTCTCAAAAATGCTCAGAAATTTTCTTGTCGTACTAAAAATGTGTTATTTTTCTCATTTTCATTCTTCCATTCAACACAGAAGTAATCTAAGTAAGTTCTAAAAACATAGATCCGGGGGCCCACAGACATTCAATTTTCTTCTGAATTGGCTCTGGTATCACACAACACACAAGCAAGCAAACAGCCTGCCTGCTAGGGCCTTGGGTTCCAGGCTGGAGGAATGCAGGCAGAAATCTCTTAGGAAATAACTAAGTGAGCGCCAAGTTTTGAATTGCCTTAGAGCCGAAAGAGAATGTGGCGTGCTGGGGAGAGATCTGGACCTCTTTCTCATCAGTCATTTGACCTGTCCACGAAGAACAATTTTGTTATGCAGCCTGGGAACCTGGTTTCCTTACACCCTGCGCCCTTAATGACACAGACAACCACGGGTACTCCTGGACGGAAGCTCATCACGCCTCCTCAAATACCTTCACCCATGTTCAGGTCACACGGAGGTCACCATCTCCTCAGCACACAACAACTGCTTTGGTTCCCAGGGTTATTTTTTCTACGAGTTGAAAACCCACGGAGCCTAAGCCATCTTTTTGTCCCCTAAGGAGAGCCCCATAGACTAAGAGCTACACTTCCTGTCTGTCTTTCCCACCTTTCCATCTCATTCTAGCTTAAAGCTTATCACGCTACTGAGAGCCTGTTCTGTAGTTCAAGGTGGCAGAGAAAAATACGAACCTTGAGTGAAATCTGGAGAGCAGTGCAGGGTCATCCCCAGACGTGACGGGCCATATCCTAGGCGACTCCTGCAGCTTATAGAAGCAGGGAATTTAATGGACTTCTTCCAGGAAAGCCAGCCCACGGGGACTCTTAAAAAGACACCAACCATTTGGAAGATGCAGCTTGAGGTCTGGGGGACTGGACTGATTCTGCCACCATATAGTGAACACGATTAATCGGGAGGAAGAAGTAAGGCACTCTGTGAGTTAGTCTACCACCCTATTGACTTTGACAGAGAGAAAACCAACTTTTTTCATATGATCACACAGTAGTACTGGAATATCTCGACTGCAATATCCTCTAAACAAATGCATGCAAAGCTTTGTAAAAGCAGCTGATGATTAAAAAAATTTTAAAACATTAGGGTTTTTCTAATATATCCATATGTGGGACAGTGATTTAAATGTCATTAATTGTCCAGCCACAACTTGTAACAGTGATGTGAAAGACACAAAAAAGGCCCCACTGGAGTGGAGGAGTGGTCTGGCTGGTCCCCAAGCAAAACAGAATGGGCTTCGCATAGGCTTTAGAACTTATTCATAAATATTGACCAAAGTGTGAAGCAAGGTATCCAGTGAAGATTCTCTAGGGTCTCTACTTCTGCTCAAGAGATTTAATCCAGCTTTCTCTAAAGCAGTGGTCCAGACTTGCCACATACTAGGTTAAAGATAAAGTGAGAAAAACAAATACTTTGGTTTGCACGTCTCTTGAGGGGCCCTAGGCTGTATGGAGGAATATTTAGAGGAATATTTGTGAGCTGCCATTTGTGTTTAAAAGAACATGAAAGCAAGACGGGCCCTAACCCGCCTGTGTCTGTAGCTGACCAGGAGGCCACTGCTTCCTTCCCCCAGAGCTTCTAGGAGAGCCCCCCAAAATGCAACTCTCCAAGGTCCTGTGGAGTAGTCCCCTCATAATGCCTCCACCACACCTGTGTCTCACGATGCCTTAACTGACGTAGCTCCTAAGTGATGTTCACAGAGAAGGAAATACTTAGGCAAGCCCATGTGTAACATGCTCACAGATGTGCTGGCTTTGCCAATGCTTTCGGACTCCACCATGCTTTCTGATTCTTCTGGTCCTAGTCACGCCTTGGCACGGGGCAGAAGCGGCCGAGCTATGCTGACAGGTGCTGCTGAGAGCCAACAGCCATTCAGCCGAGAAGGCGTTTCTAGGTGAGGGCATGAGAGCTGGCATTCCAGGCTGCTGAGTGCGGCATCTGCAGGTGCACCACATTGCTCCACGGTGTGTTCAGAAGAGACCAGCATCTTGAATCTCAGGCTCTGGGCTCATTCTTTGCCTCTGCCAAGGGACCATTCAGGGGCTTCAAGCCAGCTGCTGAAAATCCCCCTTTTCTGGATTTTTCCCCATCTATATAAGGATATGGTGGCTGTGTGGACAAGAAATTGGTTTCATCTCAGAAGGGTGCTTCCCTACAAAGATCTTCAGAAATTTAATTGAAAACAATTTTTTGAACTTTTTTTGTTTGGCCAGGATGAATGAAGCTGAAGTCACATCCTGAATGTGCATGCCAGACAAAGGGTAAGCAAGCAGTCTTTACAAATGCCAATCCCTCTGCACTCCAAAACCGGAGCCCGTAATGAAGGCCCAGGTTCCAGTCATCACAGGATCCCCCAAGCCAGCACAGTGCCTGATGCCTCCCTAGGCATTAGCACATCCCAGCACTCTAATTCACATCCTCAGCATCCCTGCCTCCTGCATCCAGGGCTTAGGTTGAGTGTTTCCAGAGTGTCAAGTACATTTAAACACAAACCAAATACTCCAGGGTTTTGACCTGTCACAATGGCTTTTGAAAACAACAGACGTACAATTTGAGAGAAGGACTCGATGGACTTCTTAGGCTGAGGACTAAGGACATGTTGCTGTTCCTCTTGGTCCAGGACATTCAATACCATTCACAGCATTCATCACCAACTGACATAGTATCGATCACGACATTCAACTGTTTGAAATTACTGCTATTTTGGTCAAAAACTAAGAAATCAGAAATTGCACCTACATAGTGTGTCTCCTCATTGGAGTCCCATCTCTCTGAGCACAGGGATGGGCTCCTGAGCTCACAGCCCTGCCCTGCCCCCCCAGCAGGGCCTCACCCTCATGGCCCTCAGTGAATAGTGACTACATGAAGGGGGCACTTACTAGAGGCCTGAGTAATGGAATTTCAATTAGCTTCTGCTTCCCTTTTCTAAAAAAGAACCACCTTTCTTAAGAATAATTAGGCCAAAATAAACTTGAGTAATTTGTACAGTCAATATTTTGAAGTTTCGGA